>NC_000007.14:146579591-146731107 GCF_000001405.40 Homo sapiens | reverse complement strand
ACATCATTTAACTTGCTCAATGCTCAGTTTTCTCATCTGTAAAATACAAGTTTGTGCTACATGGCCTCTTAAATCACCTCAAGCTGGAAAATGTCATGAGTTTATGAACACAATAAACACTAGGCTCCTGAAATTTTAGCACGGTCCTAGTTTGTGTTCTGTGGATAGAAGGTTCCTTTGAAAATGGAAGCTGATGTTGCATTCATATAAAATAAAAAGAATTGATTATTATTCATCAATGTGGTAACCATCTAAAACTAAGGTATAGAATAGAAGGCATCCTTAGGAATGGGAAGTGGTGGAAATAAAAACAAGGATGACAAGTAAAATTTCACTAAGTGAGAGAATTAAAAACTCACTAAGTCAATGAAACAGATAGTAGGAGTTCTATTCACTGAATTATTTAGCCACTCATTCAAGAAACTGGTCACAAATGTAAATAAAACAGAAACCACAGTCCTTGTATATATATGTTGCGGTCAGGAGGAAAGGATGGGGCATATTTACATATTAATAAACATTAGTTATAAATAAGAAATGAATCAGGTAAAAGAAAATAAAAGGGGGTAGAGATTATGTAATTCAACACTTTAGGGCATACTGTATAATTACAAGCCTATCAAGTTACTGAGATAAAACGTCATGATCTCAATTCTGTTCAATTATATTGTGGACATTTATTGGATGTGTACAATGTTATAAAATGGGATGAGGAATTCAGAAATATGTCCAAGGCCTAGGGGTTTAAAATCTATGGGAAAACAAGGAGGACATGGAGCAATTAAATGACAATGAAAGTTAATGTGATATTAAATGTCAAAATTAGTTTCAGAACCAATAATTTTTATTGGAGTAGGGAAAGAGAGCAAACTGAGTTCGTCACCAAGTTATAAAATCTATTTATTTTAAATGTTAGATATATTATTTTCATCATCAAAGTCTCAGTATGTTTCTTTTGATTTTTGGTTAGGAATGAGTTTTAAGGGAAACAATCAAATTATACATCATCAGATGATAAAGGAAACCTCAACTCAATAGCTGTTCAGACACAGTAGATAATGGCAAGACGTTGCTGGCTCACAATTAATTGTGTATGAAGCAGGAGCAGAGCCATTCTTTTGTGACTGGGGATGATTAACTCCCCAGCTATTAATCATCTAATTGTTAAGATTGATTACCTAAAAACTTGTTAGCATTTTAAATTAGCTCTACTGTCCCTCACCTTTTAAAAACTATGTAACTGGTCAAAACATGTTAGAGCTTTGATTAGATTTACAAGAAGCTGTCCATTTTTTGTTATTTTCAAGGTGAAAATCTTTCCGAGGGTTTTAGAGAGGTAGCTCCTTTCACATTTTGCATAGAAAATGGATGTAAACAATAAAGAGATAAGAACAACCAAACTGGTATAATGGACCTCAGGGCTGTGATCATAAGGGATAGTAATTTAATAAACTCTAGCCTGTGTTTTATTATATCTATATCTATATCTATATTTAATACACACATCTGGTAGAAATACAAATAAATATATATATACATATATTTAAAATTACTCATCTATACTAGTTATTGTTTAACACAATTTCCATTTATTTTTGGAGTTTGACACAACAGTATAAATGTGCATTTCTCTTAAGCTCTTTTTTTTTCTTAATACAAATAGTTTAGCACTGACTGCTTCAGTAACCTCCTAGGTAACCTGTGTACATCCTCTTGCCTTTCTGAAATTGACACTTCCATTCTGCTTTTACTGTCGTCTTTCAAAAATCAGAATCTGCTCATATGAATCTCCTGTTTAAAACTCACTGTGATCATGCCTCTATTTTAATTGAAAAGACTTTTGTCTCAACAGTATATGTGTATGGGTCAGCTGTTTTAAGCTACTCCCTGGAGGTGGTGAGTTGCTGTCTGAGGAGCCCTAATGAAGAACAGGTTTGCTGTGCTGGGGCTTAGTCAGCAATGGAAAGACTCATCAGAAGCCCACCTTCCTGAGATGAGAAAGTGTAATACTTCAACTGAGCTCCGCGTGGATCAGCCCCAGAGGGTTTAATTTTCTACTTCATAATGGAAATGGTTTTTCATAGTTGAAATGAATGGTATTCAACACTTGTGGTCAAGTTTAAAATATCAAGTAGCCACCTCTCAGAGTTTTTTCTGAACAGAGTTTAAGAAGAAACCAAAGCCAGTTGATCTATGCTAAATATATTTCCACTGAGAACGACGACCTGGCACTAAGAGGCCATCCCCTTCTATGGTAAACAGCCTACACCCTGCCTGGTTCTGACCTGATATGCAGCACAGTACTACTTCTGGAACACTGCCACATTTGAACTTAAGCCTTTCATTTAAGATCATGGTAGATTGTCTAAAAGGACAGAAAGCTGAGGATTTTATTCAACTCGAAGAACAGACTGTGCTTTTTTTCTACTAGTTAATACATGTTTTAATGTGTAATGGAATTAGGACAAAGGCTGTTGTTTCGTTTTTTTTTTTTTTGCAGCCTAAAAATTGTGTATATTAAATTGTATAGATTTACGGTGTACAACCTGATGTTTTGATTCAGGTATACATTGTGAAATGATTACCACAAGCAAGCCAATTGACACACCTGTAGCCATTATCTTCAGTAACTTCTGGAAGATACAGATATCTAACAAACAAGCAAAAAACCAGTAAGTGCCAATGACAAAACTGGCTCGCATTATTTGCAATAAACATCAAGGGCTCTCCATTGCATATCTGATAAGGGTGAAACTCACTTGCAAGTCATACAAGCTTTCCGTGACCTCCCCACTCCCTCATTACAGCTACTTATCTTGACAGACCTGGTCAGACCATACCACTCTTATCTTCTTCTTCAGACCCCTATTATTATTATTATTCTATGCATTTTCTCAAGATGAACGCTTTACCTGAAACATCACGCCACACAACTAAATCGTATTCATCTTGTACAACTCAGTCTAGGTATTGTCTCCCCAGAAAGATGTCCTCCGTCTCTGCAGGTTCGGTTGGGTGCCCGCCTCCTCAGCGTGCTTCCTGAGCATGCTCGTGATGCTCTTTGCCACCGTGAGTTGAAATCGTCGGTTTAGCCATTGGACCCCTTCTCTACTTAGTGAGCAACAACATAACAGCAGGTGCTTTATCTTTTTCTGACAACCAGAATGCTCAGCAAAATGCTAGGTGGCCTAAATAAAATCTCCCATGAGTAGTACTTCAATGGACATCTAGGGGGAACATCAGGGACATCTCCCTGTCCAAAAAAGAAATGTTTACAATGAGCATTTTCTTAAGACCCTGACCTACATATTTACAGAGCGAATAAAATCGTCTTCAGATATTTCTCCTACTAACAATTACACATACGCTTCTATAAATATTACTGGGTAGAGCTTGCTATTATAGATTTGAGAATGTTCTTACATAATACCAAAACGGCCTGAAAAACATGACCCTGTAAGTTAATGATCTGCATTTAGTCAGCCTGACAGTGAAAATTGCCGGCAATTGGGAAACATGTACGTGAATCACAACGAGGCTATCCAAATTATTTGGTTTTAGTGTGTGTGGGTAAGTGCTGGTGTTAAATTTCTTATGTGAGGAACACAGAGGTCATCTCACCATCTTCTGGATGTGGCTTACAAATGGCCTCATCCCTGTATCCTTCCTGTGGTAAGTGCCCTGGGATCTAAAGCATCATTCTCCTCAGTGGTAGTAAACTACTGACTTTGATTATGCTTTAAGAATGATAAAATCAGCTCCATTAGTATGTGCATTTATATTCCAAGTACACCACCTAAGCTTCTGTGAGTCAGTTGTTTCCTGGAAATTACCAAAATCGGTGTACATAATCTGTCATTTTATCCTACACAATGCAAAGGACACTGTGTAACAGGTAATCGTTTATTGGACAATAGCGGTATCATGGGGATATCTCGTATTTATTTTATTGATTACCTGAAAACTGCTGATACTGGTTTATAGGACCATATGTTTCCTATAGTAAATGCTCCTTCACATTTCAACTAGAATTACAAAATAATTCCAAATTCAAGCATTTATAACTTCAGCAGAAAAAAAAGCAAAAATCAATCTCTTCCTTATCCCTATAATTCCCCGACAAGAAAAAACAAAAGGAAAACCAAGCAAGTAAATATATCTGGTTATATTTAATGGGCATGACTGTGTGGTTTATTTTTAAAAATGGAGAGGAAAAGAGAAATAATATATTTTGAATATATGCTATGGAAAATCTGTTATAGCTTCTTTACTAATATAAAGTATTTAAACATGACAATGGCATTATTATTAGGTACTTAATGTTCATTTATAGATTAGTAAACTGTAAAATGAGGTCATTCACAATCCAAGACTACTCTTTACACCACTCTAATTTTGGAAGTATTTGTGAAATTTGTTAATTGTTAAGAATAGTAATAATCTAAGTGTTGGCATTTATTTAATTGCATGGCTGAGTAAAATTTATTAACATTTCTCTGGAAAATGAGAAAATTTAGATTTTCATGCAAGAATATTAGCTTAAAATATCTTAGCATTCAGTTCATCTAATTGCCCACCTAAACAAGAAAATTTACGTAATTGCTTAGCAAACACTTGTTATACAATTGAAAATTGAATGGCACTTTAAAAATAATGAAGTAATTTGGAATGCAGAGATGAAGGCCCCAAAATAAGGGAAGCTAAAAGAAAAAAAATAGTTCTCTTACCAATTTTATTTTATTTACCCCCATTATTTACTTCTCAAAGCATTGGGAATTCTAGACTGTGAAATTTGTTTTACAATCAAATCATAAAGTGTTTAAATATAATATTCATGTATTGTTACCTAGATATTGTTCCCTAAATAGTTCCTAAATGTATGTTCTAGAAATATTGAGGAAAACACTTTTTGAAAGAAAACCTTTGTTTCTCTATACCAATGATACACTGTAGAGAATACCTTAAATGTTAAAAAAGATGCCTATTAATATAAAATGTAATCGTTGAGGTTTTCAAAATACCCCTGAAGTATAGCCACTGGTCCTTATTGTGTCCACCCAAAGTATGTTGAAAGCCTAGTATAACTGACCAATGGGTTCATTTTGACTGCTGCCCAAATAGAGCCAATTTATCAAGACAGGGGAATTGAAATAAAGAGCTTAATTCATGCAGAGCTGGCTGAACGGGAGACAGAAATTTTATTATTACTCAAATCAGTCTTCCCCCAGATTCAGAGGCTAGGGTTTTTCAAGGATAATTTGGTGGAAGAAAGGGGGTGACCTGGCAATGGGAGCTTGCTAATTGGTTGGGGGTGCAATCCCAGGGGAATGGAAGATGTTCCTCCCGCATGCTGAGTCCCTCGGGGTGGGGTCACTGGAGTGATTAGTGGGTCCAGGTGGAGCCATCCATCATCAGATGTGCATGCAAAAAAACCTGAAAAGACATCTGGAAAGGCCAATCTTTGGTTCTACAAATAGTGATGTTATCTGCAGGAGTAATTAGAGAAGTTGTGTATCTTGTGACCTTTGAAATAATGGTGGGTAATCCTTTATGTCTACACCGTAGCAGAATTTAAGTTCCTCTCATCCTTTAAACCTGGTGGTCTCTCATTAGCTTTACAAAGGTGGTTGAGAAGGGCTATTATCATTTAACTATAAACTAAATATTTCCCCAAATTAGCTTGTCCCAAACCCAGGAATAATTAAGGGCAGTTTGAAGGCTAAAGGCAAAATGGAGGTTGATTACATCAGATCTCTTTCACTGCCATAATTTTCTCACTGTTATAATGTCTGCAAAGGTTGTTTTACTAGTTGTCAGCATCTGTGAATGAAACCTAGTGTGGAAATAGGGTCTTTGTAGATGAAATGAAGCTAAATGAGGTAATACTGGATTCGGGCAGACCCTAATCCTATATGACCAGTGTCCTTGTAAGAAGAGACACAGATATACACAATGAGGAGACCACCATGTGAGTGAGCATGGAGGCCGAGACTGGAGTGATAAGCCTGCAAGTGAAGGTCCACGAAGGACTAACAGCAACCGCCAGTAGCCAGGAGAAAGGCCGGGAACAGAGTCACTCAGAACCTCCAGAAAAAACAACCCTGCCAACATCTGGGTTGCAGACTTTAACCTCCACACTGTGAGAGAATACATTTCTGTTGTTTTAAGTGACCCAATCTGTGGTTTTGTTTCAGCAGCCCTAAGAACTAATACACTGGACACATAAAAGTTTAGATTTAGGCCAGGCATGGTGGCTCACGCCTGTAATCCCACCACTTTGGGAGGCCAAGGCAGGTGCATCACGAGGTCAGGAGATTGAAACCATTCTGGCTAACACAGTGAAACGCTGTCGCTACTAAAAATACAAAAATTAGCTGGGCATGGTGGCCTGCGCCTGTAATCCCAGCTACTCAGGAGGCTGAGACAGGAGAATTGCTTGAACCACGGAGTCGGAGGTTGCGGTGAGCAGAGATCTCACCATTGCACTCCAGCCTGGCGACAGAGCGAGACTCTGTCTCAAAAAAAAAAAAAAAAAAAAAAAAAAAAGTTTAGATTTAACAGCATGCTTCTAAAGTCAGAGGCTCATCAGGCACTGAACTGGAATCTTACAAAGTGATTAAAACCAAACGGAACAAGACCCATCTTTTTTCAAAGATGTGTCTTTCAGTATTGACAAATAGATTAGACATTGTTAGCAAATGTACACATGTGGCCATCTCTTGTATCCTCATTCAAAATACAGGAAAATGCTCTACTATGCATTACACTGATTTGGGAAAAAAAAATAAAAACGAACAGTTACAGGGCCCTAACTATTCAACAGTAACTGTTCTAACACTTACAATGTACTACTTCATTTAATCACCAAAATATTCCTAAGACTTAAGTACTACAGATGACTGAAAATTGTTATAAGCCCCTTGAGATAGCAAATTGGCAATAAGTGAGATTGTAGGAATGTAGCCACTTCCAAGTGTTGATTCTTCAGTTTCTCACCTTTGATATCTTGCATATGACTTTCACTACTACCCAGGCTGCAACATCTAGCAAATGAAAATGTGGGGCAGGTAGTAACGTTTGAATTCCAGAAAACAACTTTTTTAGCATAAGTATGTCCCAACGAGTGCACAGGACATATTACTACAAAACAAAACAAAACAAAACAAAAAAGCCTCAATAAATTAAATTCAGCGGGGACCTCCATATTTTATCTGGCAAGCACACTACTATAAGACCTGAGCATTGGGAACAAAATGCAATAGCCTATAGAGAATTCTGAAGTTTCACACAAGAATTCTAAAAGAAAATACCTGGTTATTATTTCATAGAGAACCAACTTTCATAATGTCTTCTCTTATTTATCTTTGTATCCTTGTTTTTGCTACAGTTCCTGGGAAATAGTAAATATAAGAAAACTACTGATTGAACTGCATTGACCATTTAGCTAATTTCTCTAAATATAAAGTGTGTTCTTTAAATTACCTTAATAGTTCTTCCCAGGTGAGTCATTAGTAACAATAATTCTCATTTGTAGTTTATTAATTGAATGTAACCGTTGGCTATATATATCATCATTCTGATCAACTTCTTTGAACCAATTTGTGAATATTTTGTGATAGGTATAATTTTAGTAAGTCTAAATAAGTATGAAAAGGTTTCTAACTCCTTTAGTTCCCTAGGGCTGCTATAGTAATGTACCACAAATCGGGTGAGTTAGAACAGTAGAAGTTTACTGGTTCAGAATTGTGGAGTTTAGAAGTCTAAAATCTAACTCAAGATGTTGGCTGGACCATGAGCTCTCAGATCCTTCCTGTCCCCTTCTAGCTTCTGGTGGCCCCAGTTGTTTCTTGTCTCGTGGCTGCAGCACTCCCACCTCTGCCTCTATCTTCCCATTGCCATCTTCTCACTGTATCTCCATTGCCAGATGGTGTTTTCTGTTCTTGTAAGGACACCAGTCAACTTAAATTAGTGCCTACCCCAACACCCATCTTGCCTTGATTACATCTGCTAGGACCCTATCTGCAAATAACCTTACATTCACAGGGAGTAGGGTTTAGGACTTCAACATATATGTTTATTAAGAAAATTTTTTTGAGATGGAGTCTTGTTATGTCACCCAGGCTGGAGTGCAGTGGCACAATCTTGGCTCACTGCAAACTCTGCCTCCCAGGTTCAAGCAATTCTCCTTCCTCAGCCTCCCAAGTAGCTGGGCTTAGAGATGCCCACCACTATGCCCAGCTAATTTTTGTATTTTTAGTAGAGATAGTGTTTCATCATGTTGGACAAGCTGGTCTCGAACTCCTGACCTCGTAATCCATCCGCCTCGGCCTCCCAAAGTGCTGGGATTACAGGCGTGAGCGACTGCACCTCGCCAACGTGTATATATATATATATATTTTGTGTGTGTGTGGACGCAATTCAGTCCATAACACTAACCCATAATTGTAATTTTGGCATAATGCCTAGTGTTTTCTAACAATGTCACTTACATAGTAAATATTTCAAATCTCCAATCCCCTGGGCCAAGGAGTTTTCATTGGCCTCATCTCATCTCACCAACCAGCCACAGAATGAAAATTCCTAAACTATTAATGTATTGAGAAAGGATAATATAAATGATTGCTGCTACTTCTAAAACTTTGCATTAATGTCTAAATTACTCATCGAATTAAATGGAGCAATAATCGCCACTACTACAACATGTTAGACACATCAGTGCAATTAATTACTAATTGCCTGCATTCTACCCCAGGGTATTAGTGTCTGGAAGTCCTAGGCCAAGCCCTACCCATCACAGGACACAAAAGGCCAATGGTCACCCAATACAGGGTTCAGGTACCATTCTTTTCAGCAATTGTTCCTGTTGTACAGCTCAGAAAATAGTGAGCACCTTATCGTTTAATATGTTTACACAGGAGGGCTGGGCATGCTGGCTCACACCTGTAATCCCAGCACTTTGGGAGGCCAAGGTAGGTGGATCACCTGACATCAGGAGTTCAAAACCAGCCTGGCCAACATGGTGAAAACCTGTCTCTACTAAAAATACAAAAAAACTAGCCAGGCATGGTAGCCGGCACCTGTAATCCCAGCTTCTCAGAGGCTGAGACAGGAGAATTGCTTGAACCTAGGAGGTGGAGGTTGCAGTGAGCTGAAGTCGTGCCACTGCACTCCAGCCTGGGCTACAGAGCCAGGTTCCATCTCAAAAAAAAAAAAAAAAATATATATATATATACACACACACACACACATATAAATGTAGAATATATATATAGACTATATATAGTCTACATATATAGACTATATATAGTCTATATATGTAGACTATATATAGAATATATATGTAGACTATATATAGAATATATATATAGAATATATAATGTATTTAGAATATATATAGAATGTATATAGAATATATATATAGAATGTATATAGTATATATATAGAATGTATATAGAATATATATAGAATATATATAGAATGTATATAGAATATATATATAGAATGTATATAGAATATATATATAGAATGTATATAGAATATATATAGAATGTATATAGAATATATATAGAATGTATATAGAATATATATAGAATGTATATATAGAATATATATAGAATGTATATAGAATATATATAGAATGTATATAAAATGTATATAGAATGTATATATAGAATATATATAGAATGTATATATAGAATATATATAGAATGTATATAGAATGTATATAGAATGTATATATAGAATGTATATAGAATGTATATATAGAATGTATATAGAATGTATATATAGAATATATATAGAATACATATATAGAATATATATAGAATATATATAGAATATATAGAGAGTATATAGAGAATATAGAGAGAGTATATAGAGAATATATATAGAGAATATATACAGAGAATATATATAGAGAATATATATATGGAATATATAGAGAGAATATATATATAGAATATATAAAGAGAATATATATAGGATATATAGAGAGAATATATATAGAGAATATATATAGACAGTATATATATAGAGTATATATATAGAATATAGAGTATATATATAGAATATATAGAGTATATATAATATATAGAGTATATATATAGACTATATATATACAGTATATATAGTCTATATATATACTGTATATATATAGAATATATAGAGAAAGTATATATATAGAATATATAGAGAGTATATATATAGAATATATATAGAGAGTATATATATAGAATATATATATGTTTACATAGGTTCTAGCTCTTTCTCTAAATAATAGCTTTCAAAAGATTAGTTTTGTTTGTATTCTGTATTTAATGATTACATCCTCTACATAGTCTATAATAGTTTATTAACACATCATAAGACTGAAAGAACCAAACCAAAGACAGACATACAATCTATAATAAAGAGTGAAAACGTAACAGACAGTGAATGGAAATGGAAGTAAGATACTCCAAAATAGGTGTCATTTCTATTTTTTATTTTGGAGTTCCTTTGAACATTGTAATCACCATGAAAATTATTCAACATTTGCAGTTATCCTAGAAGGATAATTCTTTAATAAAAATGTGGCAGCTTTAACCTTATATACAGAGCTCAATTTTTACTTATAGGCATCTGAAATTGATTTAGGTCAGCCTCAGCATGAGCAGAGTATGTAGGCACTTCCCTCCGTGAGCTACTTTTGTGTCCCCTAAGCATAATAGATAATTGCCTTCTCTAGGGAGGCTACCAGGGTCTTTTGTAACGTGGAAAGCTGCAACATTAGCAAACTCAGGTATTTGAAAGTGAGCCAGTAAAGAGGTACTACTCTACAGGATGATAAATGGGGCTGGAGAAACTGTGCTGACAGCATTTTGGAGTAGACAATAGGGATAAGAACTACTAAAACCAGAAATTGCACCAAACCAGAGGCATAGTCCTTTGTGGACAACTAAACACCTTCTTTCTTGTGAAATAACTGGAAAAAAAAAAGTTTTGTATGAATGTAATAAAACAAGAGTCCACAGAAACTCAAATTTTCTTTCCTTTATAAGCAAATTAGTGGTGAAAACTGAGAAAAAACAAACAAACCAAAAAAACAGTACTTGCCTCCCTTGTTTTTTAGGGAAGAATTCTATGTATTCAGTCCAATGTATTCAGCTCTTTCAATGCTTCAACATTTGGGTCTCTGCAGGTCTTTCTGCAATGTAAGCCAGCACTCCTACTGGGTATTTACTGAATGTCATGCTATATAATGATAGTTTTGGACATTTATCGGATTATTATTTCCTATCTCTGTTTCATAATTGAAACAATAGTTTTCAAAAAATAAACAACAAAATCAAAAGGTTACCTTTCCTTAAAAAGAAAACACAGAGAGGATAACATCAAAAAAAAAATGGAGAAAGAGAAGTGAATTTCAAATATTCAGATGTCTTTGAAAACTGAATTCAAGGACGAACAAATTATCCCTTTTCAATTAGAAAGAATATGTAAAGATAGCAAAATTCAGTGAAAAACTCAGAGATAATGGAAAATATGGAAAAAACTCCAATGTTCTCAAAAACCACAGTGCAAGCAAAAGTAATTGCTGAAGTGGTTTGTCTGTTATATATTAAAATCTAGAAATCTGCCTGTGAACTGAAATTGCAAATTTTTAACATGATTTCGATTCACTAATTTGAAGTCTGAAAAAATTAGGCAAAACATTGTCTCCTACTGTTATACTTCTCTCAATATTTTCAACTTAAGATTGTTTAGGGACATAGATTAAAACTTGCTAAAATTGTATTTTCTCACATCAGCAGCCTTGTGAAATGTCCAGCTTAGTTATTCTCTCATATTTTGGTGGCACTGCATTTCTTTGTAGCCTCAGCAAAGCTGACTGTTGGGCTGAAAGATTCAAATAAAACAAGACCGAAGGGGCAGACAGAATGATGTGATATTCCAAATCAGGTGCAAGAATTGAAAAGTCATAGAACAAATAAAATTCTCCTTATTGCATCAACATTGGGTGGGGAACAAAGTAGATTCAATTTAACAAAAAATAGAGTGATTTATTTTTGTAAGAGAAATCTTCCTTACTTCAGAAGCTAATAAATGTAAACCATCCTATGAATTTGAAAACCCCTAGGAGAAAGGCATGTTCTACTTTCAGTTAGCGTATTGGACATAATTGTAAAAGAAGCACACGCCCATTTCAACTTGTGAACATGAAGACCGAGGTTGCATGCTTAACTTTGGCATATTAGGAACACGAAGAGGAGCCCTCTCAAATAAAAAACTGTCAAAGGAACCAATCCATGAGACAAAGCAAACTTCTTGGAGAAAGATACCGTTACTTTTTCTGTTTTTATGATTTCTTGGTGATGGGAGAGGGAGTCACAGTAGCAGGTAATTAACTGCCAAGCAACAGAACTAATACTGAGAAGAGAGAACCATCTGTCCTTATCTAAACTTCAACAATATTAAGTTGAGCGATAACTGATAGTGACAGCCAGAGACTCAAAATTATTTATTGCTCCTAAGTTGTGAAATTAAAACACTATTTTTAATCATTTCATTGCTCTTTAAGTGAGGATAAAATGGGACATCCTTCCTTCTAATTAAACAGAAAAGGTTTAAGGAACAGAGGTTCCCAGTCACAGAATGCCATTTTCCCACTTAGACTCCAAGCAGTCCTTAGCACCCCATGCACAGTTACCCACCAAGAGACACAATTCTTCCAGTCAATGAGGCTGTGAACAAGCCACAGAAGCTTTTATTCCAGTCCTCATTTTTGAGAAACTTCTCTTTGATAGAAATTAGCCTAAGCTTATAAGAAGAAAAGTAGAAATTCAAATTATTTCATTGGTTAGTAGACAATTAATCTTACAGAATTGGAGAAAAGCACTGAGATTTTAATAATATGTGACAGTGTAAATATTTAGGTCAGTCAACAACATGTGCACTGACTGTTTATAACTATGCGTATGGTAAACAAAATCGACTAGCATATAGAATATTAAAAGAACACCTGAAGTTGGAGGCTTCTGTATCAAATCAGGATGGTAATTGTTATTATATTGAAGTTTATTGGCTGCTGCCTAAAATGTGTTTTCATACCATCATAATGTTATTAAAGGTGTAAAAGAAGCATCTGACAATAATTTCAAATAAGCTGCTTAATTTTATAAAGGCATCCCATTCCTGTTTTGGCACTGCCATTGGTCATCCGTGTGACTTTGAACAAAATGCTAACACAAATGTGCCTCGGATGAATCATCTGTAAGGTAGGGATAATGCATTACTCAACTTCCAGGATCATTGGGATACTTTATGAAATGCTAAAGAGCTGTGTGGCGTCCCTGGCACAAAAAAAAACCTCAATTAATATAAGTTTCTACCATTTCCCCAGTCTTGCCATCATCATCACTACTCAATGAATAAAACCAAGGTGAGTTAAATAAAACTAAGTTAAATTTGTTATTTTTTATTTGTGTTAGTAGTTTTCTCAAAGTCACATGGATGACCAATGGCAGTGCCAAAACAGGAATGGAATGCCTTTGTAAAATTAAGCAGCTTATTTGAAATTATTGTCAGATGCTTCTTTTACATGTTTAATAACATTATGATAGAGTCTCACTCTGTTGCCCAAGCTGGAGTGCAGTGGCGTGATCTTGGCTCACTGCAACCTCCACCTCCCAGGTTCAAGCAATTCTCCATGCCTCAGCCTCCTGAGCAGCTGGGATTACAGGCACCCACCACCACACATGGCTTTTTTTTTTTTTTTTTTAATTTTTTAGTAGAGACAGAGTTTTGCCATGTTGGCCAGGCTGGTCTTGAACTCCTGACCTCAGGTGATCCACCCGCCTCGGCCTCCCAAAGAAAACTAGGTTAAATCTGAAAGTGAGATTATAGCTTAACATTTGTGACACAAACAGCTCTCTGCATCTTTTGGTGGTTCTCTCCATGGCAATTTAAAGTGGACTATTTCTAAATAATATGCTGCCAGGCATAAGGATCTTTCACCTATATAACCTCTCTTAAGGAAATCCACTCAGGGGGAGGTCTGCTTATGGGATAAACGGAGGCAATTTCACAACCAGTTAAGAAACCAATCTTGGAGTTGTTTGCCTCTTGCCACAGACTTCTCCTCTAATGAGAGTCTGTCTTCTTGAATATCTTTCTAGATATAATTGAGGCCCCCATTTATTTTAATTTTCCTGATTATTAAAGACATTTTATTATCAAATACTGTAACTGCATAATAGAGGTATGACCTTGTCTAGCAGTTATCTAGTCCAAGCTCCCGCTTAAGCTTTATCCTTCCTCACTAATGAACATTTCTTCCTGCTTAAAGATTGCAAAGCATGCTCACATATTGATCTCCTTTGATCATAATAACCACTGACATAGGTAGGCAGATATTATAATGGCCATCTCCAAGGGAGAAATGAGAAATCTGGGGCTTGGAGACATTCAGTTACTTGTTCTAGGTCACTCAGGTGGTTTATAGAATGATAGACTCCTAAAATGTTAACCTATTTGGTCAATGAGTGTCAAACATAGATGGGTACAAAGGGCAAATACAACACCAATGCTTCTCTCAAGCCTGCTGTGTGGCATCAGAAACAAAGGTGTTTGTATTGCAGCAAAGCACAACCTGCCTTTTAGAAACACTTTGGGGACAATTTAAACTTATTAAACAAAAACCTCCAAAGGCCAAATACTGTTTTAGGGTCTCAAGTTGTTTTGTTTTGAGTTTTTTTAAACCACTGATTTCTTTGATCCTCTCTGATCTTCTTTTAGCCCCAGGAGGGGAAATGGTATGTATAAGGTCACTCAATTAGCACCAGAAATCCTAAGAATTTGTCCTGCTTACAGCACAGCCAGGACCCCAAAACATGCCTTTTTTTTTTTTTTTTTTTCCTGCAGACTTAGCTTTCCTAACAATGCGCCATACAATTCTCAGGTCAGGGAATCTACCCAAAGCTTCCAGCCATTGTTTAGGAATGAGTTCCATACTTCAGGTATCCAGTCCCATGTGCCAAAAACCCATGTTCTTTCCATCTGGTTGTACCTCAATTTAGTGGGTAAGTGAATGATGCAGGCGGCATGTTAATGACCTATGGCGGCTGCTCATTCTTCTCTCAAGTTGGGATAGGTAAGTCTGCACCACCTGAGATCCAACACTGTGACTTAGGCATTATTAGGAGCAGTTTAACACTTGCTGAACACTCTAACAGAGTTTTGGAGCCAACAATGGGGATAAGGAGATGAACATGACATAGACTGCCCAAAGCTCATGGGCCTCTAAAGCTGTGGTTCACATATTTTTCCACCAAGTCCTTTAAACAGGCAATTAAGTAATCTTCATTAGGCTACAATAAAAAATATTTTAAAAAACTATTTAACTTGGTTTGCAACAATAGTCTCTTTTTGACAAAACTGTAGCTAGATAAAACTATATTAGTGATTCATCAAAAGCAATATTTTGCTCCCCATCACTTTAGGTAGGGTGATTTTCTTTTGTTCCTCAGTGCCAAATGGACGTGAATCTAGTGTATGGCCTGTAGGGAGTTTGCTGCTGAAACTGTATACAAATCAAAACTAGAACCATTAAAAAAGTAGAGGTCCAGCTGGATTAGGTCCTGAAAAGATGAATATCATAGTAGACAAATAATGCTGGACAATAGATAAGGTCTTGAATGAGAGCCCTCTGTTAATATACAGAGTCACCAAAGGCCCAGGGACTTGCTGTATTTCACAGTATCTTTGACTCCATAGAGTTTTGTTTGTTTGTTTTCTTGAGATGGAGTTTCGCTCTTGTTGCTCAGGCTAGAGCGCAATGGCACGATCTCTGCTCACTGCAATGTCCCCCTCCTGGGTTCAAGCAATACTCCAGCCTCAGTCTCCTGAGTAGTTGGGAATTATAGGTGCCCACCACCACAACCGGGT
This sequence comes from Homo sapiens, assembly GCF_000001405.40. Classification (NCBI taxonomy): domain Eukaryota; kingdom Metazoa; phylum Chordata; class Mammalia; order Primates; family Hominidae; genus Homo; species Homo sapiens. The sequence continues at coordinate 146,715,183 of NC_000007.14, read as the reverse complement.
AATTTTTGTATTTTTAGTAGAGACGGGGTTTCACCATGTTGGCCAAGCTACTCTCGAACTCGTGACCTCAGGTGAACTGCCCGCCTCAGTCTCCCAAAGTGCTGGGATTACAGGTGTGAGCCATCACGCCCGGCCTCTATAGAGTTTTAGAGTATAAAAATACTTGTACTTGCTTTATCTCTTTCCCTTCTCATAGGGTAGGAATTACCTGAGTAGGTAAGAGTGTTATTCAATCCTGTTTTGCAGATGAAAAAACTAGCAAAGAAAGAGGTTAAGCGCCTAACCTCTGGTAACCCAAATAATGGGTCTAGACCTAGGGCCCAGAACGTCACTGGACAGGACCATATATCACAGTGACTATACTATCTCTTGTCACTTATTTTGAAGGAATATTGTTGAAATTCAGTAATGTGCCATCAAGTATCTGTTTATCTTTGTTTTTTCTTAGTTACATATATATCTCTAGAAATAACCCATTTTTATTTAATTCTTATGTCCATATGATTTCCAATTAGTTATCTTAACTCGAAAACTTTTGTCTGATTCTATGTTCCTATGACCATGGACATTTCTATTTCCTATAGGTATACACTTCAAGAAAAATCAGTAGTACATGAAGCATTGTGTTAACACAATAATTATAAATAGGTTTGTTAACCCTAAGTTTACAAAAAAATATCATCTCACCTGAGGTTTAGATATGAAATAGCTTCACTGTGAACCTCAAAATGACTCCCAGTCTGAAATGGTTCCACCTTAGTGTCTTACTTCCATGATTAGAAACTAGTTGTTTTAAATATAGTATGGTGTTTCTAGGGTTGGTCTACTCAAAGGCAAATAGTTATGTCTAAGCTGTTCCAGGCACATGGTAACAGTGGAAATGTAAGCAGTGAACAAATACGTTCTAGCAACAGTGATTCTCAGAGTCTAGTAAAGCAATCAGATGTGCAGTATGGTGAAATGAAGTGTGAGAGCTATGAAGAGAAATGCACAAAGGACTGTGACAGAATAGAGGAGTGAATAGCCATGATCATGCGTCACGGAAGGCTTTCATGTGGAGTTTCTATATGAGATGTATCTTAAAGGGTGAGTCAGGCAGAGAAGTGCACTCCAGGAGAGAGCAGTAATCATATAAAAGAATAATAAGAATAATGAGTCAATTTTTTTTTATTTGCTCTATGCCATTCACTTAACAAATATGATGGAAGTGTCTTCCAATCCCCAGGTAACCACCTTACTTTTTATATACATATGCTAGTTCATTTTATTTTTACAATAATGCTCTGAGCTAGGTATTAGCTCTGTGGATAGGAAACAGGAGGTGATGACATAAATAGAGAAGTTAAGACACCTGCTCATGCCATACGACAAGTGGCTAAAAGAGTCAGGAATGAGTAGGAATCTACTGCTTCTAGAGGCTGGGTTCTAACCAAGCTTTCTTGAGTAAACGTTGGCAGTGCTTGACATGTAGGATGATCAGGAATGGGAAAAGAAAGACATGTTTGGATATACTGTCTGGAATCACATTTGGAAAGGAATTTGTCATACTTGAAGGCAACACAAAATGAGCTATTCATTATTTGATGCAGAAAGAATAGAGATACATAGCAACAATATAAACAATAGATTGCAGGTGAGGTGGTTGGGCAGGAGAGAACTGAAATCTGGAGACAAAATTCTTACCCTTATCTAGAGCCAGCACAGCTTACGAACTCTCTGCCAAGCTGGTAGTTATGGACAGAATGACAAAGAAGGGGACAAGCTGAATCATTTCCCATTAAGAAGCAAGCTACAAAGCAAATGGCCTTCCAGAGAAGCAAAAGTATTGATTGACCATTTAGTGCAAATGATGGAACACTAATTAATAACTGCAGCTGTCAGGAAGCAGTGATTGTTTGGCTTCCATATAGATTTCTTCCCCTCACTTTCATTTGCTTTAATGTTCAAAGCTTTCTTTGATGTGAATTTAATGCTTCCTTTTCTCATTCTGTTAATTCTTTCAGTATTTTGTACTGTATCTTTTTGAGTATGCCTGCTTTTATATGTTTTATCTCTCTTGCATTACTAATGTTATATTTAGGGTCCTGCGAGTCTGAGATTTCTTATAAGTTTTAGTTTTGAAAACCAAATGAAGTAATTCAGAGAGGGGAGTGAATCTTAAGGTGAAGATTATCAAGGGCATTTCATCTCTGGCAATAAATTTTAAGGGAGGGGTACAGGTCAGCGTGAAGAAATCAACATTAAGGGAATGTGTGTATATTAAAATAAAGGAAAATAAGCCAATAGAAAAATATAAGGCAAAAAAAAATCCCAAGCAGACCATCTAAAATGTATGGTTATGAAGTCATTCATGGCAAATACTTTTGAATTGAGTAACAGAAAGGAGTAAAATATGAAAAGCAGGTTTAAACTCAAGTAAGATATGATATGAAAATGAAGCATGTTGTGTATAACCAAATTCAGCCATGATATGTTACAGATGTTAGACTATTTATTTTATCTTAAACTAAAAAAGAAAAAAAAAGGCAAAAGTAGATCAAAATTCTAGTCATGGGGTTAGTTTTTTTGAAAGAAAAGAAACAGGCATATATGTGAAGAGACTGTCAAGTATTAATATTCTTTTAAAGGTAACACTTGAAATAAATCATTCTGGCCTTTCAACTGTTTTCACTGCTTTAGGGAAAAAAAAAAACTTTCTATTCTTCAAAGTCCAGTTCAAATACCTCAAAATTATTATCTTCCTCTTCTGTGCTTTGGCACCAAGCAATTTCCTGTTTTTTATTTTATTTATATATATAGTATACATAAGATATGTATACTATATAGTATACATAAGATATGTATACTATATAGTATACATAAGATATGTATACTATATAGTATACATAAGATATGTATACATATATGTATACATAAGATATGTATACATATTTGTATACATAAGATATGTATACATATTTGTATACATAAGATATGTATACATATTTGTATACATAAGATATGTATACATATTTGTATACATAAGATATGTATACTATATAGTATACATAAGATATGTATACATATATGTATACATAAGATATGTATACTATATAGTATACATAAGATGTGTATACTATATAGTATACATAAGATGTGTATACTATATAGTATACATAAGATGTGTATACTATATAGTATACATAAGATGTGTATACTATATAGTATACATAAGATGTGTATACTATATAGTATACATAAGATGTGTATACTATATAGTATACATAAGATGTGTATACTATATAGTATACATAAGATGTGTATACTATATTGTATACATAAGATGTGTATACTATATTGTATACATAAGATGTGTATACTATATTGTATACATAAGATGTGTATACTATATATGTATACATAAGATGTGTATACTATATATGTATACATAAGATGTGTATACTATATATGTATACATAAGATGTGTATACTATATATGTATACATAAGATATGTATATATAATGAGATATATACGAAATAGCTTCAGTGTGAACCTCAAAATGACTTCCAGTCTGAAATGGTTCCACCTTAGTGTCTTAATTCCATGATTAGAAACTAGTTGTTTTGAATACAGTATGGTGTTTCTAGGGTCAGTCTACTCAAAAGCAAATAGTTATGTCTAAGCTGTTCCAGGCACATGGTAACAGTGGAAATTTAAGCAGTGAATAAATATGTTCATATATATTATAAATATGAACATATATACCTATATAGTATATATTATATATTACATAGTATATATTATACATATATTGTTTCTGGCATTCTCATGGATATATATGTATATTATACATATATATTTTACATATATGTACATATATTATACACATATAATATATACATATATGTATGTTTATGTTTTCTATTATATATTATATATTTATATGTATATATAAAATATATATGTATATGTATATATAAAATATATGTGTATGTGTGTGTATGTATACATACATATGTGTGCAAATTCTGCCTTGCAAGCATTTTCTCCTGTATATACACACATATATGTGTGTGTGTGTCTGTGTGTGTGTGTGCATATACAGGAGAAAAATGCTTGCAAGGCAGAACTTGCATCTTGCCAACCTGTGTTCTCCCCAGCACCTGAGCCAAGAGGTTGAGCAAGGAGGTTCCAGGTTAAGTGAAGGATTAGTAAGCAATCAAACCCAGTGAACCAGGCAGGTGCCTCAACTTTCCCTCTGTCTGCATTGCTTTGCAATGGGCCAGCTGGAGAGCTCCTAACTTGGCTAATGATTCCCAATGCCAAGACCGGATATATATGAGTGAGGAGTACTAGCCCCTTATCTTGAAATATCCTACAGTCTTGTGACATAATTTTAAAAGTTTTCAAATGGTGACTGATTTTAAATTAGTGATTGCTCTAATGAGGATAAGAAGCAGTCACAGTGGCCACTGACTCTGTGAGACATTGCCTGTAAAACCCAAATTATATGTAAAAGACTAAATAAGAGAGGAGAACAGAGGAAAAAAATCAGAAGTGCATTAGTGGTGAGGAAGGATAATGCCTCAGAGTGCTCCTATAGTAGTAACTTTGTCATCTACTGCCTATCCCTTCATTGCTACTTAAATAAGTGAAATAAAACTAATGAGAAATAATGACAAAACTACAAGGAGGATACTGTAGTTGATTTTACTTATTGGGTAGTTTCTCTGTTTCTAGGAAAGATATGGTTCTGATGGTAAACTTCAAACCTCAATCAAAATCTGTGTCAACAAGAATGAAGGGATGAGAATAGGAAACAGTCAGGCCTCTTGTCCTATACTTTTCTGTGTGTGTCTCATTTTCCCCACTTATGGGATCAGTTGCACTTCTAAGCAGCAACACTACAGTTCCCTTGAGACAAAATTCTGATCCCCATGACATTTGTTTTCATATTCCAGGATTGACTGGTAGTTCTTAGATTTTGTGTTTGTGTCCTGGTTCTGTACCCGTTAGCTCCTAATCCTAATCCTAATCCATGTTTCATTCATCTCTTACTCCTCTGACACTGCTTTCCAATTGTGAGCCACACTTCCTGCCCTGGTCTCTGGCCAGTTCCTCTCTGCCTTCGCTGATGGGCCTTGGCCTGACAGCCCTTTTCATTCAGATCCTTGCAGCTCACTTCTTAGTCTTGCCACCCCAATTCTTCTAAGCTCCTAATCGATTGTGAAAACATTGAGTCTCTCCTATACAATGTTGACCTTTCTGCTGTTCTAAATCCCCATACTCAGAGCCAGCCTGTGTTTCCAAAACTAAACAGATGTTAGTTCTTGGACTCTGAACAGAGCATGGGCATGCAAAACTTGTTTTTCCCTCCGGCCGCCCTTTGTGGCCAGTATGCCTCTCAAGATACACCCCACACCCAGAGTTCATAGTCCAGAAAATCTCAACTCCAGTCTGGCCCTCCTCAGCCTGCTGTATTTTACCACCATCCAGCTTCTCTACTTGAGAAGTAGAAGCTGAAACCACAAGCTGGAGACATCCAGACTGCACACTGCCATAAATCAAATTTAGATTATGTTGTGCTTCTGAATTCTCCTTTCTGCTTATGCCTCTTTGTTATTCAGCAACAGGGTTCTCCGGACAATCATATCCATGCTTTTGTTTCCAACTGAGCAACAAACTTTAGGCTTGACTGAGAGTCAGAACTGGCCCATTCTCAGAAGTAAGGTTCCCCAAACTTCTGGCTTGTACTTCTGAATCTAGTCACACATTTCAATCAATCAACACAATGTTACATATGATTTCCCTTTCATTTTAGGTTTCTCGTATCAGCACTAGCATGGATTGTGGTGCTGTAGAACTACAATTGCTTTCATGGTTAGAATGCATGGTGGTGAGTACAGTGAAGAGAAAAGTTCATAAACACGACCCAGTTCTGCTACTAGTGAGTTAAGGACTTTGAACTCTCAATCACAGTTTTATTTTGTTTTGTCTCTTAAAAAAATGGAATTTGACTAAGATTCCTCCTTAACACTGTTTCTATAATATGGAAAAAAATGTTAATCCACATAATGCTGCCTTGTATTTGACTTTACAGATGAAATCACAATTATGTTACCCAGATAAATGATGTTTCTAACTGTGGTTGACTTTATCCATTCATATATAGAAAATAAGCCTCTCAAAATCTCTTAAAATATCATATTTAATTCCCATAGTGATCTTGGCACCTTCATACTTCTGAATTATAATTTATATCTCAAACATACATAAATTGACCAAGGCATCTGCATTTAAGAATCACTTTTTTTTGGCCAGGCGCAGTGGTTCACGCCTGTAATCCCAGCACTTTGGGAGGCCAAGGCAGGTGGATCACCTGAAGTCAGGAGTTCGAGACCAGCCTGGCTAACAAGGCAAAACCACAAAAAATACAAAAATTAGCCATGTGTGGTGGTGCACACTTGTAGTTCCAGCTACTCAGGAGGCTGGGGCAGGAGAATACTTGAACCCAGGAGGCAGAGGTTGCAGTGAGATGAGATCACGCCACCACACTCCAGCCAGGGCAACACAGTGAGACTCCATCTCAAAAAAAAAAAAAAAAAAAAAAAAAATCACTTTTTTTTTTTTTCTTAAACAGAGCCCGGAGAGAACAAAACTGGCATTTTAATTACAGAAATATAAGTTCTGGAAATAGCACTTTAATATTTCAGGCTAAATAGCTCATTTATTTGTAGTAATTAATTATTTAAAAATTATTTTAAAGCATTTAAGCTTCAGCAAAAGTCTCCTAAGAGAGAACCACAAAAAAATGCCAACAAAAAGAAAGAAATTTCTAACAAGTGGTTACCTTATTGATTATGTTGAGATCATTTATATATACTAAGTAATTTGTTAAACATGTATCATTGAAGGCCTCCTTCCGGTAAGGTCCTGTATTATAATGAAGGTAGTAGCTTCACTGCAAGCAGAGCCCAGCAATTTACAGGTTTGTGAGCAGAAGCACAGTTGTCAAAATTAATAATACAAGGTAGAAAGTAATAAGTTCTTAGGTAAGAAGACAGGCTATAAGTGTTCATTGTATTTATTTCTTTGGTATTTTTTATAGAGTCTTGTCTTCTTTTACTGAACTGTTACTTCTCAGGCCTCAGGTGTGAATATAGTAACTTTATTTTTGGCGTAAGAACCCATCACTCATGTAACAGACACAAACAGGTACCATAAATCACAGTTGCTGATGCATACATAATCAAAAATGTCGCTTTGAATTTCCTACTCCATGCATTAAAAAAAAGTGCTATGCCTACCCTACATACTTCTCCATCAGTTATCAAGACTCAAGTTGCATTTTATGGCTGAAACCAAAGAGTTAACCTTTGAAGGATTACAGATGCACATTCTTATTTTGATAATGACACAAATGTATAATGCTTAAAACTTTCTTTTCTAGAGTTTCCATTAGTTGAACATGGAACCTATTAACAGACTTAAAAGGAAATAAGGAATAGGAAATAGACAGAGGAAAGCTTGACCATTTCAAAGGTCATGTTGAACTAAAAATTTAAAGAGCAAGGCCCTTCTGAGAGATGGAGATGGTGTCAGAGTCACAGGGTCAACCTGACTCTGGCAGTGGAGTGCAGCCCAGGCCTGGAGAATCATGAATGAAGAAGAGCTGTGGCAAGAGTTTCTAAGAGAGAACCACAAAAAAAATCCCAACAAAAAGAAAGAAATTTCTAACAAGTGGTTACCTTATTGATTCTGTTGAGATCATTTTTATATGTTAAATAATGTGTTCAACATGTAGTCATTGAAGGCCTCCTTCCAGTAAGGCACTGTATTATAATGAAGGTTATACTGAAGACAATGGAGTGAGGCCCCATGCCCATCACAAATGAAGAGGATCTGGGCCAGGCATAAGAGGTGGCCGTGAATAGAAGTGGGAGTCTGTGCTAGTATTGTGGTGACTTAGAAACACTTCCAAAGACTTCAGGCACACACTGGGGCTTCAGGTCCCAGCCTCTTGAAATGGCTGTGATAGAAAAAGCAGCAATGGCCACCCAGAATGGTCATGAAAAGTGTTGCCTCTGCCCCAATAGATAGTACAGAATAATGATTGAATGTTGTGAATGTAAATACATTCGAATTGCAGATTTTACGACGTGGCTAATTTTCACTGCCAAAGTGCATTTTGCTGGGCTATTGCCAAGCACTAATGTAGAATTTTTGCAAGTCTGTACTTCAAATAGTAGAGTCCAGTGCCTTTGAATCTTTTTTTTTTTTTTTTTAACTTTTAAGTTCAGGGGTACATGTGCAGGTTTTTTACATAGGTAAACTTGTGTCATGGGGATTGTTGTACAGATTTCATTGCCCAGGTATTAAACCTAGTACCTATTAGTTATTTTTCCTGATCCTCTCCCTGCTCCCACCGTCCACTCTCTGAAAGGACCCAGTAGGTGTTGTTCCCCTTTATGTGTCCATGTGTTCTCATCATTGAGCTCCCACTTATAAGTGAGAACATGCGGTATTTGGTTTTCTGTTTCTGTGTTAGTTTGCTAAGGATAATGGCCTCCAGGTCCATCTATGTCCCTGCAAAGGATATAATCTCATCCTTTTTTATGGCTGCAGAGTATTAAACATCCAAACTTTGGACATTCAGCGGCCGCCTGTTCACTTGGAATAATTTATTAGCATGGTATACTATTCATTTAGATAAATCACATTCATTATTCAGATTGTAACACTTTGACAGATAGCTCTTCCCTGGCTATCCAGGCTGAGAAGATCTCCATGAATCTCTTTCTTTTTTAATTTTTCTTCATAGCATTTTCTTATCACAATCTAGAATTATATTCACTTACTTTCTTAATGCCTAACTGTCTCATTGGGCTATAAAGTTGCTGAGGGTGGGACCCATTTCTGTTCAGTTTGCTCAAATATCGCTAGAACCAATGAGAATCCATGAGAACACACGAAACACAATGGTAGAGAAAAAGGTTACTTCATCTCCATTTCCCTACCACAGTGGTTCCCAACTAGAAAGATTCTGACTCTCAGGGAACATTTGGCTATGTCTGGAGACATTTTTTATTGTCATGACTGGTAGGGGTGTTACTGGCATCTAGAGTCCACGCATGTGGGCAATCTTCCTACAATGCACAAGACATCCACCACAACAAAGTTATTTGGCCCAAGATGTCCATAAGGTATCTCTTGAGAAACTCTGTCTGCTATGGTTTGAATGTTTGTGTCTCTTCAAAATGCATACGTGGAAATCCTAACCTAAAATCCTAATCCTAAGAATGAGTTGGATACCATATGATATAGCTTGGCTGTGTCCCCACCCAAATATCACCTTGAATTGTAATAATCCCTATGTGTCAAGTGCGAGGCCAGGTGGAGATAATTGAATCATTAGGGCAGCTTCCCCCATACTTTCCTCATGGTGGTAAATAAGTCTCATGAGATCTGATGGTTTTATAAATAGGAGTTCCCCTGCACAGCTCTCTTGCCTGCCACCATGTAAGACGTCTCTTTGCTCTTCCTTTGTCTTCCGCCATGATTGTGAGGTCTCCCAGCCATGTGGACTGTGAGTCCATTAAGCCTCTTTTCGTTATAAATTATCCAGTCTCAGGTATATTTTTATTAGCAGCGTGAGAACAGACTAATACGTTGTACCAAGAAGATTGTATTAGGAGGTGGAGCATTTTGCGGGGTGATAGGTCATAAGGGTAGAGACTTCTCATCAGTGTCATTAGTGCCTTTTTAAAAGATACCCCAGAGAGCTGTCTTGCCCTCCCCACCATGCGAGAACACAGAAAAAAGTTACCATCTATGAACCAGGAAACAAATACTTACCACACTGAATCTTCCTGCATCTTGATCTTGGACTTCTCACCTATCAGGATTGTGAGAAATACATATTCGTTGTTTATAAGCCACCCAGTTTACGGGTTTTGTGATCACAGCCTGGAAGGACTAAGAGTCTGCCCTATTCAAACTGATGATGCAAGTTAATATACTGAGGCACTGGTCAACATCTCATCCTAAACACTTTTTAGCCAAAAGCTCTCATCACGGCATTAGCAAGGGAAATATTTGTCTGAGCATCTGAAAATCATTAAATGACCTAGGGGACAAGGGTGCCTCCCAAACAGGTAGTCAAATCCTTTTAGCAAAGAGGCCGCTTCTCTCAGCTGAGAGACACTGTCATCATTTGATGTGCCAGAAATTTCAGGGATCTGACCATCTAGCTAAAAGAAATATTCTCTTCAAGGAAAGTTGACAGGAAAGAAAATTTAGGTGATGTCCTCTAACCACCATTTTTAGAGCCCATAGGTATGCTTGGGTCTTGCCCACAATGCAGATATAGTCAATAGAAGAAGATGACTAGATGAGGTTTGAGACTATTTTTATCCTAACATCCTAATATAGAATTAGAATTTTTTCACGTGTTCAGTTTTTAAGCCAACCTGACCTATGTAGGATATGGAGAATATTTACCCTTCTATGAGGCTAGTGTTTCCTAAACTATTTGGTTAACCAATTGACCTCACATTAGGCTAGTGAGTATTTTCTAATCTTATTGGCAAACATAGGGCCCAGATTACATTTAAGTGTATATCATTTGTAAGAGTGTGATGGGAACATAGACACAGGACCTGAAATTTAAGTAGTCAAACTTTGCCATTAACTATTTCCTGACTTCGCGTGAGTCACTTGGCCCATCTTTAGATTAGCTTCATCTGTCTAATGATGGTTTCTAAGATTGCCTCTAACTGCAAAAATTCTATAGACTTATGTAACAAATTAGTATCTATTTTGTCTGTTCTGGCTTCCAGGTCATACTAACTAAAACTTTCTCTTATTCTCCTTCTCTGTATCTCACTACTAGACTATAATTTAGTAAAATTGCTGGGACTGGGCAATGAGGCTGAGCTTATAACGCATGTAGCATACTGGAGACTGTGTGCTGTGTGGCATCATTAAGTAATTTTTACAATGAGTGGCAATGACATACTTGAAAACTGACCATGTGTGTCAATGCAAAAAAGGTTGTCTCTCCATGATTGCAATTTACAAAATGTATTTACTATTTGACATTTTGTTCTTTTCTCTTAGAGCTGCATTTTTTATATTAATTTGTTCAGAGTCTATTTAAAAATACAACACAGGTAACAATCAAAGTAGACATATGACCTATAAAAGTCTCCCACTTAAAATATTTGAAGAGGAAATAAGAGAAAGCACAGATGAAAGGAGTTTGTCAGAGAAAAAAATTAAAATAAAGAAGACTTGGAACAAAGAAGGGAGAGAGAAATGGAAAGACAAATGGAACAAATTTCAGGAATGAAGTGCTATGGTTCAAAAGTTTGTGTCCCCTGCAGAATGCACAGGTTGAAGCCTAATCCCCAATGTGATGTTATTAAAAGGTGGGACCTTTGGGAGGTGATCAGGTCATGAGAACGGAACCTTCATGAATGGGATTAGTGCCCTTATAAAAGAGACCTGAGGGAGCTCGTTTTCCTCTTCTACCACATGAGAACATGGCAAGAAATTGCTTCTTATAGGGAACAAGCCCTCACCAGGCCCCAGATCTGCTTAAACCTTGATCTTGGACTTCCTGGCCTCCAGAACCATGAGAAACACGTTTGTTGTTTATAAGCCACCCAGTTTATGATATGTTGTTATAGCAGCCCAAACAGACTAAGACATAAAGTAAATGCTAGAAAAAATACTTAAAAAATGAGTTTGGAGACTAATTAATATTCTGATGTTTGATTTTGTTCAACATTAAGCATGACAGAGTTATTTATCTCTAAAAATATTTTCCACAGTTTGATTTCTGCATTTTTTCGTACACATTACCAAATAGAAAAGTCATATCATGAGACATACACTTGACCAACCCTCATAGAGACCCCTCCAGAGAAATGGCTATTGTAGCTATTTCACCATGCTGAGACCACATGGTTTATTTCAGTTTAGGATACTGATTTGTCAGTAGAGCTGAAAATAATAGTGTTACCAAAGCTCCTACTAGTTGATTGAATGTGAGTACACAATAGGTCAAGAATACCTTACAAGCATAGATACATCTGCTGACTTGGCTTTTTCTTTTGTAACTTTAATGGGTTAAGAATTTATTGGAAGGATAACTTGCTTTGTGAGAAGAAAAAAATATTTGTTTTTAAGGATCCCTTGGGGATTTGTCTCACGTAAAAAGAGAAACTCTCAATATGCATATAAGATCAACAACAAAGCTTTCCTGATGTTTGCTACCATTGTTGTCAATGCATATATGATTTGGTTGGAAATGAACTTGTCTTAATTTTGCAGTTTTCAGTATTGTTTATATATGATCTTTAACATGTTAAAGGTCGTTAGAGCAAGCATCTGAAAGCACACAACATTAATTTTTGATTAAAAACACAAATACAGAAATTATGCCACTATTAATAATCATTCAGAATTGAGACATTCCACCTAAATGAGTTTCCAGATAATTGAAGTTTAAATATTTTGGGCTGTGCCATCTAATAAAGTATATTAGGCACACATGGCTACTGAAACCTCAATTTAAGATAATTAAAAATGAATGAAATTTAAAAAATCAGGTTATATCTTACATTGGCCACATTTCTAGTCCTCACTGGCCACATGTGGCTAATGGCAACTGTACTCAACAATGCAGGCACAGACCATTTCCACCATCACAAAATGTTCGATTAGACAGCTCTGACTCAGAGTATTTAAAAACATTTCTAGATAGAATGCTTTTCTAAAGTATTTCACAATTCTCTGCCCTTTTAATAGAATAAAAATACTTAATTTTTTCTATAGAACGCTTTTCTAAATAATTTCACAATTCTCTGCCCTTTTAATAGAATACTTAATTTTTTTCTATAGAATGCTTTTCTAAAGAATTTCACAATTCTATACCCGTTTAATAGAATAAAACTACTTAATTTTTTCTAATTTCTGTTCACCTATTTTATACAGTGCTTCAGCTATAGTTAAGTACATAGATGTAGGATTAAATGGATACCAACTTTAGTGCTGTCCCTAAGACTTGCTTTCAGGAAAAAATATTTGATGTCAAATAGAAACATCTGTTCTTTTCTCACAATGATGAAGAAAAAGATTTGCATTTGCTTGCTTTCAAATAAAGTACAATATAGCTGCATGTCTTCAAAATTAATTATTTCACTCTCCAGCGAAGCACACCCCTCTCCTTCCTCATTGTTGTAACTTCCTTTTGTTTTGACACAAAATTCAACAGAAATATTACTTTTCTAATTGAATCACAAGCATAGCCTATGTTTTGTCCACAGAAGTTTATTGCATTGTGTATTGATTGAATATGAAAGACTGTCTCTTTTATGCTGAAAGACTTCTTGGTAAGAATATTTTGAGAAGGGCTTACTTCAAAATCTGCAAATTTCTCAATATCAGAGTATAATATATTTTCAAGGATGATGTCAAAGTAGATGTCATACTATTAATTCTTCAGATACAATTCTATGTGTGTGTGTGTGTGTATATACAAAAATTTAACAATCACATTGAATGATATAACTTTGTATTTAAATGCCTGTAGGATTGAAATTATTGATGATATCTCCTCTATCAAGTATTAAACTCTAAATAATACCCCTGTCTATAAGTTACATCAAAAAGTAATTTTGAAAGACTGGAAGAATATATATTTTTAAAATACAACCAGACATCATAGTTTGCTTTGTTCATGATTTAAAGGATGCTATTCCAAATATTTAGCAACCAGTAGAGTATGGGCATTGGCCCAGAACAAACATGCTAATAGGATTCTGCTGGACCTCTGCTACTGCAAATACTATCCACCGTGTTGCACAAAGGCCAGGTGCTCTAAGACTCTCGGGAAGGGTTTCATGATGAGGGGCATCTGGAGGTCTAAGGGCAGTGGCTTTACCAACAAGCTGAAAAGAAATATTTTAATAATGTTTAGAGCCTTACTGAAGCAGGCCAGCAGAACATCGGCCTTGTGCAATTGTTTAACTGAAAAATATCTTTCCCGCCAACAGATAAGCAGTTGGTTTTATTTATTTTTTCTACTAAAGGAAAAAATGGTGATAAAATCACTTGGAAAAATCATCCTTGTTTGATCTACTTTTTTTTTTCAGAGCCTTGACTCCATATTATTCAGGCAAATAATATTAAATAGAACCTAAACATTTGTCCTGTTCTCCAATTTCTTTCCTAAGGCTAGCATAATTTTATGTGCTCTTTCAACTTTTACTCAGAGGACCTTGGGATTCTTATCCTTTGTTGGCTTGCAAATATATATTGAGTCTGCAGTATTTGATGGATTATATCTCAGTTTTGCATTGTGTTACAGGAAACTCCCCCTGGACCGTGGACTTGGATTTGTGGATGCACATTTATGGTGGCCTGCCTGCACGCAGAGCTAACTAAGGACATTTTGAAATAAACAATGACTGGGATTTTATTGTTTCTCTTCTCTTCTCTAGAAACATACTGGCATAATCAAATACATAGTAAAATAATACAAAGATGCAAATATTTTTGATTTCTTATTCTGATATAACTTCCTTTGAATGCCCCCACACAGTATATTTTCACTGCCTAGAGCCTACTTTTTCATTGTCACAGGTAGTTTTTATAAACATACATGTACAATGCCTTTAGGTATAATTGAGCTTCCTGAAGGTCAGACTTTCAGATTACTGAAGTTATCTAGTTACTACATACTTATTTTTTTAATTTAAAAAACAAGATTAGTCTTATCTGACTTTTAAAGAGTTTAGAAATCATCACTCTGGTCCTCACAATAAGAAAAATGCTGACTAAACTGAAAATTAGTAATTTTTCTTAGATCCTTCAGATAATCAGGATCACAGGGCAAACCACTGCCCCCTTTGAAAACCAGAAGGACAGGTGAACACACAGAATGAGTCACAGCACACCAAAAGAAGTCAACACTAGATCCAACAACCAGAAAACTGAAGGGATAATTGACTAATGACTGGACACCGGGTGTTGACTAGTTTGAGGGATGAAAACCCTTTGAGGTCCAGTCTTGGAAGGGGCTACACTCTTATTCATTTTACATCCAAGAGGTCTACCAAGTTCTTCAGTTAAAGGTGGGAGAAAAATCCCCTTGTTCTTTTATCAGGGAAAGGGGAAAGCCCAGATTGTGAAATACCCCCTGAATATTTCCTTCTTTTTCTTTTTTCTTGAGACAAAGTCTCACTCTGTCACTGAGGCTGGAGTGTAGTGGCACAATCTCTGCTCACTGCAGCCTCCGCTTCCCAGGTTCAAGAGATTCTTGTGCCTCAGCCTTCCGAGTCGCTGAAATTATGAATATGTATCATCACACCCAGCTAATTTTTGTATTTTTAGTAGAGACGGGGTTTCGCTGTGTTGGCCAGGCTGGTCTCGAATTCCTGATTTCAGATGATCCTCCCACCTCGGCCTCCCAAAGTGCTGGGATTACAGGCATGGGTCAACATGCCCAGCCTAGAAATCCTGTTCTTAACAAAGGCCTACCCTCAAAGAAAACTAGTTTACTACAGCCCAATGGACTGAGGTTTTACCAGAGCTGAATTAATCTTAAAGAAGAGAAATACCTAACCCCAGCTCCCTCTAGCCTTCTTGTATCACATAAGTGGATAAAAAGCCGAGAAACCCTTGTGATGGTCACAACCCAGGGGCCCAGGCTCACTAAAACACTGAGACCTAATTATGAGACTGTAGAATGCCTATCCTCCCTCACACCCTATCACCACATCAGCAGAACTCCTGCATAATAATGAGGGAATACAAGTGAAAAGCCTTCATGTCTCAGATCTTATTTAAGATAAGTTCTCTGTGGCAACCCAATAACAACAGGGGAGACAAAAACATTTTAGTCTCTGTCACATATAGCTACAGCAAATAGTAGACACAGCTTAAATCCTGGGCAGACTAACATAAAACCTCAGGCTAAGGCACTATGTGTTTTATTTTCCCTCATGCATCATATTTTACAAGGCAAGTTAAAGTCAGAGAACACAGATTAAAGAGACAAAACAAACATCATAACCTACTTAGATACAGCAGAAACTTTGCAATTATTGAACTGGGAATTTAAAATAACTATCATGAGTATATTAAAACCTCAAATGATAAAAACAAACAACATGAAAGAATACATAGGTAATGCAGGCATAGAGATGAGAACTCCAAGAAAGAATTGAAAGGAAGTGCTAGAAAGAAAGAAAAAAAAGATAAAAATAAAGACTGCTTTGGATGGGTTCATTAGTAGGCTGGACACAGTCAAGGAAATAATGTGTTTGAAGATATGTCAATAGGAACTTTCTAAATTACAATGTAAAGAGTAAAAAAATGAAAAATATGGAAGAGCACATTCTACACATGTATGAGTGTTACGAAATGTGTAATGTGCATAACGCAAATAATATATGGAGGAGAGAGAGAAAGAGAGAGAGAAAGGAACAGAAGGAAGAGCCCAAGAAATAATGCTGATGCTTTTTCGAATTCAAAGACAGACAACAAATCACAGTTCTAGGAAACTCAGAGAGTGCCAAACTCTCTGATAAACAGTTAAAAATCTCCTTCCTGGCATAATATTCCAACTGCAGAAAATCAAACAAGAAGAAAATCTTCAAAGAAGCCAAGAAGGGGTGGAGGAAGCCAACACTGTATAGAATCATGTAAGCAAGAAGAGAGTGGTATAAAATTTTAAATATTTAAATAAAAACAAATAAAAGTACAGCCTAGAACTCTGTATCAAGTGAAATTCTTTGAAGGGAAATAATGACTTTCTCAGAAAAATGAAACTTGAAGTAATATTTTCGGTAGCAAGCCTCCCTTTTAAAAAATATTAAAAGAAATTACTCAGAGAAAAAAATGACTCAGATTAGAAAATTGGATCTACATAAAGAAAGAGTATTTAAGAAAAAATAAATGAAGGTAAAATAATTTTTTTTGGTTCTTAGAGGATACAACATAAAATTTGTTCTAATTAATAATAGCAGCAATATTTTGGATGGTTCTAGCTTACAGATAAATGAGAAATGAATGAGCAATGTTACATGTGATGACATAGGGGGAATTGGGAATACGTTAATGTACCTGTGACGCCTGTGAAGTAAGGTAGAGTTATTTGAAAGTGGACTTGGATTATTGCAAATGTATATTGCAAATGTATATTGCAAACGCTAAGGTAATCTCTAAAAACAGGTAAAATAGAAGTAAAAAAGAGATAAGAGAAAGTAGAAAATATCAAATGCGCACTTCAAACTGAAGAAGGCAGGAAAGTATGTAAAACAAAACAAAATGTAAAAACAAAAACAAGGACAATGGCTAGAAAGCAGTTATAAATTATGGTAGGCATTAATATAAATATATCATTAATCACTTTAAATGTGAATGATCTGAATATACCAATCAAAAGAGCTTATCACGGTGGATTAAAAACAAGAACCTACTATGGGTTGGCTACAAGAAATTCACTTTAAATATAAAGACACATATAAATTAAGATGAAGGGATGGAGAAAGATACAGCAATGCTAACATTAACCAAAAACATCTAGAGTAAATATATAAATTTCAGACAAAGCAGACTTGTGAGTAAGGAAAATTATGAGGCATTTAAAATAAGGGCCAAGCGTGGTGGCTCACGCCTATGATCCCCGCACTTTGGGAGGCTGAGAAGGGAAGATCACTTGAGGTCAAGAGTTTGAGACCAGCCTGGCCAACATGATGAAGCCCTGTCTCTAGCAAAAAACACAAAAATTAACCCGGTGTGGTGGCACATGCCTGTAGTTCCAGCTACTCAGGAGGCTGAGCAGGGAGAATTGTTTGAGCCCAGGAGACAGAGGTTGCAGTGAGCCAAGATTGCGCCACAGCACTCCAGCCTGGGCAACAGAGCAAGACCCTGTCTCAAAATAAATAAATAAATAAATAAATTTAAAAAGGTATTAACTCTCTGATGAAACAGAATAATCCTTATTGTGTCTGTGCCTAATGGAGTGTCAAAATACATGAGATAAAAACTGATATAACTGCAAAGGGAAATAAGTAAACCCACTATTATGGTTGAAGACTATGATACCCCTCTATTAGCAATTGACAGAGTCAACACACACCAAATAAGACATAGTTAATCAGAACAGCACCAACAATTAACTGGTTTTAATTACACCATCTGACAACACAAAATATATATTCTTCTTAAGCCTACCTGGCACATTCACCAGGATATACCACATTCTAGGTCACAAAACACAGCTTAATGAATTTAAACTATTGAAGTTATTTAAAGTATACTGTTACACCAGAATGAAATTAAAGTCAAAGTCAAAAATAAAAAGAAGCTGAAAATTCCAAAATATTTGCAGAATACAATAAATTTTAAGGATTACATGAGTCAAAGAAGAAGTCTGAAGAAAAAATAAAAATAGTTTGAAGTGAAAATTAAAATACAACTTTTCAAAATGTGTGGGATGCGACAAAACCAGTGATGAGAGAGAAATTTGTAGCACTGAATGCATGTATTAGAAAAGAAAGATCTAAAATAAATAAAAGTTTCTGCTTTAGAAAGTGAGAAAAATAACAGCAAAATAAATCTGAAGTAAGCAGAAGCAAATCTATAATACAAATTAGGGCAGAAAGAAATGAAATTGAAAACAGGAAATTAGTAGAGTAAATCAATGAAACCAAAAGCTAGTGTTCTTTGAAAAGTTCAATAAAATTGTTAATCCTCTAACCAAGCTAACCAGAAAACAGAGAAAACATACAAATCACTAAGATCAGAAATGAAAAAGAGTAATTAACATTGACTTCATAGACATTAAGAAATTAGGCGTAAGCATTTTAAACAATTTCATGCTTACAGATTTGATAACCTAGATGAAACGGACTGATTCCACAGAAGGCGCAATATAAAAATTGCACACAGGGAGAAATAAATAACCTGAATAGGTTTAATAAATTTAATTGACAATTAGTTACTTTTCAAAAGAGAAAGCATCAGTCCCAGATGTTTCCACTGGTGAATCTACCAAACTCCCAAGGAAGAATTTAAGTCAATTTTTTTCAAACTTTTACAGAAAATATAAACACAGGGAATACTTCCTAACTCATTCTAGGAGGCCAGCAATACTCCAACACCACATCCAGACTAAGATCTGTTAAGAAATGAAAATTACTAATATCTCTCATGAACATAAATGCAAAAATCTTCAAGACAATTTTAGCAAATCAAATCCAATGTATAAAAAGAATTATACACCATGACTAAGTGGGCTTTATTCCAGATACAATGGTTGGTTCAAATTCAAAACCTGATAAATAACCATGTGAGGTAATATATATGTTAATTAGCTATTTAGCCATTCAACAAAATATGCATATTTAAAACATCATGTTGTACATGCTAAATATATGCTTATTTGTAAATTAAACATTAATTGGCCTGGCATAATGGTTCACGCCTGTAATCTTAGCACTTTGGGAGGCTGAGGCAGGTGAATTGCTTGAGCTCATGAGTTCAAGACCAGACTAGGCAACACGAGGAAACCCCTTCTCTACAAAAAAAATATGAAAAACAATCAAAAACAAATAGTTGGGCATGGTAGTGTGGGCCTATAGTTCTGCATGGGAGGCTGAGGTGGGAGAATCACCTGAGCCAGGGAGGTAGAGGCTGCAGTGAGCTGTGGCCATGCCACTGCATTCCAGCCTGGGTGACAGAGTGAGACCCTGTCTCAAAAAAAATAATTAATTAATTTAAAAATCAATGTAATTTAAAAATCAATGTAATTTATCACAATAGGCTAAGGAAGAAATATCATACAATCATATCTATAATGCTGAAAAGGCATTTGACAAAATCCAACACACATTTCTCATAAAAACTCTGAACAAATTAGGCATAAAGGGGAACAACTTCTACTTGATAATAGATATCTACAAAAACGTAGTTTTTGTAGTTAATATCATAGCAAACAGTGTGAAACTGGATGCTTTCCCCCTAAGAGAGAGAACAAGACAAGGGTGTCTGGTCTCACCACTCCTATTCAACATTGTCATGAAAGTACTAGCTTATGCAATTAGAAAAGGAAATCAATTTATACAGGCTGGGGAGAAAGAATTAAAACTACCTTAGTATGCAAATGTCATGATTACCTATGTAGAAAATTCCAAAGAATCAACAAAGAAGTTCCAGGAACAATTAACTAATTATAGTAATGTTGTAGGATTCAAGGTTAATGTGCAAAAGTTGTTTTCCTATATACCAGCAATGAACACTCAGAATTTAAAATTAAAAATATAAAATCATTCACATTAGCACAAAAATTATCAAACACTTAGATATAAGGCCGACAAAATATGTATAAGATCTACATGAGAAAAGTTGCAAAATGTTAACTACATTAAATCAAAGATGATTTGAATAAATGTAAAGATATGATCATGAATAGAAAGACTCAATATTGTTAAAACCTGAATTCTTCCCAAATTAATCTATAGACTGAATGCAATCTCAACGAAAATTCCAGTAAATTATTTTGTAAATATTGACACACTGATTCTAAAGTTTATCTGGAAAGGCAAAAGACCCAGCATGGCCAAACAATACTGAAGGATGAGAAAGAGGACCTACCCTACCCAATTTCAAGACCTTATATTAGGCCATAGTGATCAAGACTGGGTAGCATCATTGAAAGAATAGGCAAATACATCAATGTAACAGAATAGACAGTCCAGAAATAGACCCACACAAATATAATCAATAGTTCTTTGACAAAGGAGCAAAGGCAAGTCAATGGAAAAAGTAGTCTTTTCAACAAATGATGCTGGAACAAGTGGATATCCACGTGGAAAAGTGTAAATCTATAAATGGAACTTACACCTTTCACAAAATGAAAAGTATTGTTTACACATAACCCCAAATTATTTTCTATTTAGCCCTTTGTCTATTCTTTACAACAGCAGCTCTCTTCCTTAGCTCTCTAGATGCTGAGTTTTAATTATATTCCTTGCTTCTCTCAGTTCATCACTTACCTTTCTTATTTTCCAATTATATTCTTAAACAATGTATGATTTTTCTCTGAACAAAAATATTATTTTTAGCTTCATAAAACCAGGAAGCAAATATTCATACTTTATGTGAAATGATTTTTTTTAATCTGGAATTTTAAAATAATTACACTGCTTTTTTGTTCTCACTTAAAATTAGGAGCTGAACAATGAAAACGCATGGGCACAGGGAGGGGAACAACACACACTGGGGCTGGTCGGGGGATGGGGTCATGGGGAGGGAGAGCATTAGGAAAAATAGCTAATGCATGCTATGCTTAATACCTAGGTGTTGGGTTGATAGGTGCTACAAACCACCATGGCACACGTTTACATACGCAACAAACCTGCACATCCTGTACATGTACCCCAGAACTTAAAATAAAAATCAATAATTACACTGCTTTTCAATCTTAAAATATACTTTGTTGCTCAGTATTTCATTTGGCACTGATAAAAATACTAATGTCAGTAACATTGCAATTTAATAGATGAGGAAACAGAACCCAGGGAGGGGAGATTACTTGTCAAGGTATAATATTCTGGCAGAATAAGAATTAAACTTATATCTTATAATATTTTTCCCTATTCTAAGTATCCTGGAGCCTAGCTTATTTTACTATTAATGTCTCAAAAATTTTCAATAATAACAACACATGTACAATAAGAAAATCAAAGAAAAAACCTCAAAACACATATAGAGAGTAAGAAGAAACAAAGTTAATGGAGTTATAAAATTTTGATTGAATAAATTATTTGTTTCTGCTTGCAGATTTTTTTTTGGTACATAATGTCAAAAAATAAGACATCTAATTCATAACATCAGCATAAGAAAATACATGAAAGTGAAAATAAACTTAATTCTTAGCATAAATTTCTAGAAGCACTCACTATATGCAGAGCCATTTTATTAAACTTAATGGAAGATTATTACACAGCTAATATGTCAAGCACAATGCTATCTTTGTTACTATTCTCTCTTGGATCTTTTGAAGTAGGTATCGTCTCCATTTTATAGCTAACAAGCCTGAATTTCAGAGATATCAAGTGATTTCTTCAAGATTACTCAAGTAAATGACACAATCAGAATTAAAACTCACTTCCTTCATCTCAAGTCCAGTGCCCTTTTACCGTATACTATAGTTCAAGGTAAGGAATACTTAAGAGCATAATGGATAGTGTATTTCATGGCAGTTTCATACCATGGTGGCTGACGAACTGCAGGGAAAAAATGGATGACATTTTGGTTTGCTTTATTGTAGCATCAGTAGTATTAATATTCAAAATAATAGTCATAATAGCAATCACTTCCTGAGTGGCTATCACATACATAATTTACACCATGTTAGGTGGTTTCAAGCTTCTATCTCAGATAGCTACAGAAACTTTGCAATTAAAACATTATGATCCCCATTTACACATGAAAAAACAACAAAAACTGATGCTTACAGTGATCAAGGGATTGTCCAAAGTTAGACAAATAAATATTGGAACTGAGATTTGCTCCTCAAGGGTCCAAACTCTTTATCTATTTTAATTCTTTGTTAACCACAATCAAAATGGTCATTTTCATCCTTTCTATTTTCCCTCTTGACAATAGGTTAAAATTGCACTTGCAATTAAACATTTCTTCAGTTTGCTAATTGTGTGCCCAATTTCATGCTCTGGCTGAAAGCACCCACAATTAGCAAGCACTGATTAGATGCTTATGCAGTTTCCAACAGGATAACTCTTAGTATGCATAAAAGGAGACTACCTTTTAAAAAGTTGGCCTTTACTGGTATAAGTTTTAAAGGTTTTTATGTAGGGAAAATGTCAATTCAAATACAACATCAAACGGCATTTCCTAAATGCATTTTACATGCTCACCACTGTGACAGGTCTCTATGTAAATGTTTATTGTATGAAAGCATAAACTCTAACAGAAAAGCATTTTTACAAGACAAAAGGAAATGTAGAAGACTACGTAAGACTGCAGAGATGACAGTAACTAGAGATGAAAAACATAAATGTGCCCATTATTTCCAGGAACCTGAAAGACACATTCCTTTTTTGCTAGTTAGACTGTCATCTCTGACCAATTTTACACATTTTAAAGCTAGCAGTTCTAGAAGGACCCTTGTGCATCATTGGATGTCTCAGAACATTCGTAATGGGTTTTAGGACCTTAAATTTTTAGGGGCCTGATTTGAATCCAATCCAAGACGTTACCATTGAAAAGCCATGTTTCCATTGTTCAAAGTAGTCACTGAATTTGCCCATTTTATACATCTCTGAACACTGTTGAATTTACAGGTTAAACAATTTAATTCATGCCAACTTGACCATTGCAAGACATAGAGATTTGAGATGAGAGTGAATGCAAAAGGGGGAGGAGAGTTTCGGGGTTGGTAGTATGGGTAGAATTACGAACCTGGCTCTAACATTCAGTAAAGAAACATTGGAAACACATAAAGAATCCTCTGCCATTTTGTTAAAAAGGAAACTACAAACCCTCCCTGACTTACGATTATTTGCCTTACAAATTTTCAGCTTTATGATGGTGCAAAAGCAAATGAGTATTGAGTAGAATCATACTTTGAGTGCCCATACAACTCTGCGTTTTACTTTTAGTACAGTGTTCAATGAATTACCTGAGCTACTCAATGCTTTATTATATAATAGAACTTGTGTTAGATAATTTTGCTCAACTGTAGACTAATGTAAGTGTTCTGAGAATGTTTACAGTAAGCTTGGCTAAGCTGTGATGCATGCTAGGTATTAAACGCATTTTCAACTTACATTGCTTTCAACATACAATGGGTTTATTGAGTTGTGACTCCATTGTAAATCGAGGAGCATCTTT
The DNA here is from genome assembly GCF_000001405.40 of Homo sapiens. Lineage (NCBI taxonomy): Eukaryota > Metazoa > Chordata > Mammalia > Primates > Hominidae > Homo > Homo sapiens. The sequence continues at coordinate 146,691,274 of NC_000007.14, read as the reverse complement.
ACATGTTTTTCTCATTGAACATATTGCTTAGAGAAAAGAAACAGATCCAAATTAGTGGCTTTATATTTATCATTATGACTCAGCATTTTCCTAAAGAAGGTGATTACCCAATGGAAATATTAAGAAAATGGCGGAAATTGTTTGGTTAAAGTAGTTATCATTTGCACATAAACAGCTATAGGTACACATATGGATATGCATCATATAACATGCAGGTATTAATTTGGAGAAGATTCCAAGACATATTTCAATGAGAAATGCACACCTTGTTTATTTTCCAGAATCACAGCATAATCAGAGAATAGTAAAGGTGTGACTGCACATTCACTTTAGGAACTGTTCCAGATGACAGTTTTTCATGTTCTTTCCAATCATTCTATATATTTTTAGCCCAGAGGACTGACAAAATGAAACAGTTGCTTCACAAATTAAGTTCCCTTTCCTCCTTTTCACTCAAAATAAACTGTATTAGAAATTAGAAAAAGAGAAACAGAAAAATTTTAAAGGCTTTTTTCTTTCAAAAATTATCATGATGTATTTTCCCCTTTCCTAAATAATTTATACATAAAAACATAGGAAATATTACCTTGTTTGCATAGAATTGTCTGTGAACCATTACAAAATTTCTGGCAAATGCTACTACCTTCTACTGGTCGAGAGCAGATTCTAGCTATCATACGCATAAAACAACTTGCAAATGAGGCCATTAAAGAGTTTTCACATATACAAAACATTTATTTAAATCTTTGGTAATTGTGACTTTAATCTGGAGAAACAAAAACCTATTAATAAGATTCATGTTTCAATAGACTTGTGACCACTGTGAGCAAACTGTAGCCACAGGCATTTTGGGAGCTCCAACTGGTCAGAACACAGGGGAATGAAGTCCCTGTCTCTGCATAAACTGAATTATACAAATTATACATGTGCAGTGACCAATCACTGGAGACTTTGAAAGAAGTGTCATGATTGGTTACTGATCATGACGTATGTCTCCTCTTTATGTAGTGAATTGTGGACTGAAGGCCTAGCAGCAAAGTTTGTAATTTATGCAATTATGGTTAGTACGCTGTGGATTGAAATTGAACTGTTGTTGGAAGACTGGTATTATTTAAATCGATTCCAGTAAATGGAATTCTTGCAGATAGGAATCACATGAAGAGAAAATTTCCTGTAATTATGTGAAATGGAAGACTCATCAAATTTAGAAAAATTGTGTGTGTGGCTATTTGCAAAATTATCTTAAGATTTAAATAGATATATATAAATTTGAAAAAAATTAATAAAAATATTAATATAAAAATAATCAAATTTTGATGGAAACACCATTCCTCTTCCTACAGGGGGTCTGTCATATGAGAAAAACTGAAACCTTAGTAGTAACTCATTGATATATCCATCCTGTTTGCTCTCTTTTACAAAAGAAAGAAAAGATACACAGTATTTCTGCATGATAAAATGTAGTATATTCACATAAAAGTTTCCAGAAAATAACTTAAATGTGAAATGCTTTTGATTCCCTGAAGAAACCAAATATATTCTTCAGTGTACCTCACAACTGCAGCTTTTTATCAGATTGCTTTAATAATGGCACCTCTGTTCAATTTGTTATATTTCATCAGACATGCGTGGCAGTCAGCACAAAGGACAAGTTAGACTTTAAAATGAACTGTGCAAATCTTCTGATAATAAAACGAGAGTGACAGATATAATTATGAGGTACAGACAGATAAATGAAAGATTCTCAAGGACGTTGGTGGCCTACTGTTTAGAGCTTATAGAACAAACACCACTGAGAAAATTCCTTTGTATTTTCCACTTCCTCAATTTTTTTTTTCCTTTGTTTTCTAAATTTCCAGAGAGCTCCTACCCTGGATGATCTCATGGTCACTAAGGAGGATATACATATAAACACATATTTATAATAACAATACAAATGTGATAAAATATGCATAATACATTTTATGGCAATTCACTGCTTGATAACCCCTATCTTAATTTGGCTTTCAAAAGACAGGGTAGGCATTTTGATCACCACTCATAGAGAAGAAACTAAGGATTAGCCAAATGGAGTAATTTACTCAAGGTTACCCGAGTAACCTTGTGAAATGTTACTCATCAGAGGGCAAGTCAAAAGGAAACAATTTTTAGTAAAGTATATATAACTGTATATAACAGCATATGTGTATGCCTCCTAAATTCTGATATGAAGAGACTTTTCAAATACATTCGTGAAAAAGTGTTTTAAAAATGCCAACATTTATAATTATTTTTTGAAGCATCATGTAAGCTGTATAATAAAAGATGAACATAGAAAGTTTTCATAGCTAAATATCTTAGTTTTACATACTATAATTTTTACCAGACATTTTTTACATGCATGCTGTAATCAGCTAACAAGAATGGTAGCTAACTGATGAAGAGTTTTGATTTACTTCCTAGTATAATTAGGATAGTCATTAATAGTCTTTGTTTTTATGTCATTTCATGGCAACATTCTCCAATTGGTATGTGTCAGGCCTCTGAGCCCAAGCTAAGCCATCATATCCCGTGACCTGCACGTATACATCCAGATGGCCTGAAGCAACTGAAGAACGACAAAAGTGAAAAATAGCCAGTTCCTGTCTTAACTGATGACATTCCACCATTGTGATTTGCTCGTGTCCCACCTCAACTGATCAATTTACCTTGTGACACTCCTTCTCCTGGACAATGAATCTCAGGAGCACCTTGTGACCCCTGCCCCTGCCCACAAGAGAACAACCCCCTTTAACTGTAATAATTTTCTACTACCTACCCAAATTCTATAAAACTGCCCCACCCCTATCTCCCTTTGCTGACTCCTTTTTCAGAGTCAGTTGGCCTGCACCCAGGTGATTAAAAAGCTTTATTGCTCACACAAAGCCTGTGTGGTGGTCGCTTCACATGGATGCGCATAACAGTATGTGATAACATGATGACACAATGATTATTGCAGAATTTGAAATGAAACTTATAGAACAGTTCTTATGATTATTGCTGTATCAGATGAGTTCACTCTGATTAATACTATTAAATAGTACAGAAATTAACAATGATTTGAGTATTATTTAAAATTAGTACCTTCCTTATAAATGAATCACTTCATGGCAGTTTGTGTCTACAGACGCCTATTTAATGCTGTGGGATTCCCTCTCCATGTGGGGTCAATACTAGCTTAGGGACCAACAATGTCTTTTCAGCGACATCTTTACTTCCAGCTGTTTTTAGCCACAGAAATTAAGTTTCTGCACCTACACCTTCTTTGCTGTAAATTATAATCCCCAGTTGATTATCTTGGGAAAAGTCTGTGTTTCATTAGTAATGTAAAACCACTTGAACTCACACACACATGCACATACACAGCCTGTGCTCTTCCCATGGAAAGCATCAGTGCTAGACTGCAAAACAACTGGGCTTATCCTATAAACAACAGATCTTGCAAAAGCAAAGAAAGTTTTGCTCATTTATATCTCTGTCTCTCTCTTCGCCCCTCCTGGTTGCATTGTCATCTCCTTATTGCTAAATATATTCCCTCAATGATCACATTTTCAATGTACTTTTCCATTTTCATTATTTTTTAATATCTGAAAATGAAATGATCTGATAACTTGATTCTTTAAAAAGCCATAATTATCTGTGCAAACACAAAAGCCTAAAAATATCACAAATCCACATCCATGTATTAAAAATTCATCTATTTGCATCATTTAGATAAGAACTACCAGAAAACTTTTAAGTCGAGTCGTTCCCTTCTTTTCTATGGTGATACACGACAAAAAGGGGCACAGACAATGATGAGGACTGTAGCTAATATCCGTTACGTGCTTACTTTGGCAAGACATTTTTGTCCATGTACTATCTCATTTAAACCTCACAATGACCCTATATAGCTGGTGTGACTTTTCTCTTTCTGTGTATTAGGAAACTCAGTCAGAGAGAAATTATGTTGCTCAAGATCACATATTTAGTTAGTATCTAAGCCAAGATTTCATTCCAGGCAGTTTAACCACAGGGCCTAGACTTTTAACCAACAGTCAGTATTTACAGATATTAAGACTAGTTTTGATAAGTTCTGTGGCTTTAGAGAGCTAGGCATGAGACATACTGAATTGTAGAGACATTTAACCGTTGAGAAATGAAAATTTTCTCTGAAAATAATAGAACTATGATTCAATGACACAATAATAGTGATCTCTCAGGTACCTCATGCACCTCGCTCAGAAGAAGAATGCTAGTTAGGCATATAAACTAACGCACCTTATTGGCAGAATAATTGATTAAAGAAATATCATCAACATAGTGCTTCATTTTTGCAGTATAGCATTGGCTCCAGGAGCACCCAGCCACAGAAGCAGAGAGAACCATTTCCAGCATGCATCCCTATGTTACGACAAACATTGGCTGAATCTGTTCCAAAGCTTTGCTGAAAATTACATTGACTCCATTTTAAAGTAGTGTATAGAAATTGTATATGCCATTATAAAACTGCCAGAGAATTAAGTAAGTCAAGTAATGTTTCTTATGACTAGACAGTCTTTCTAAGAACCATGTGACAAGCCAGCATTTTGTTCTCATATACCAACAAGGAAGTAATACTGTGAAAAGTCATCAACAATGAAGGAAAATTAGAACTCCTTAAAAATTATCTTTTAATTTCCTTTTAGACTTGCCGATGATCTGTGCCTCGATCTTACAGAAGATCTAGTTCCATGGTAGAATACAGTCCCTAGGAGAGGAGTACATAAGTCTGTATTTGTATCTCAGTGGCTAGCACATATTTATTCCCTAATAAATATTTGTTGGTAACTGGAGAAGGAAATTCTGGAAGAGGATGATTGAAATTTCGGAAGTAGCCATGGAAATATGTTGCATTCTGCACACGCAACACATACAGGCTACGTACAATCGCACTGCTACTCTATTCTGACTTCAAAAATTGTTTGATTTTTTTTTTCCCTTGAGACAGGGTCTCACTCTGTCACTCAGGCTGGAGTGCAGTGTGCAATCACAGCTCACAACAGCCTTCACCTCCTGGGTTCAAGGGATCTTCCTGCCTCAGCTTCCCAAGGTAATACAGGTACATGCCACCACTCCTGGGTAATTTTTTAAAAAATTATTTTGTAAAGACAGTGTCTCAGTATGTTGCCCAGGATGATCTTAAACTCCTGAACTCAACAGATCCTCCAGTGTCAGCCTCCCAAAGTGCTGGGATTACAGGTGTGAGCCATCATGCCTCACCTGGAATATTTTTTTCTGAATCCCAAGGTCAATATTACACTAAGTGTTATTAAATAGATTAAACAAAGTAGAAGAACCAAATACATTTGCTAGTATCAATACTACCATTGAACACATAACTGTAGAGATATAGACTGAATGTTTTCCTCTTTCAGCTCATTTTCACATACATCAATTATAAACAGTTCTTTCCATTAGGCAGATAATTATTTCTAAGTTTAATAGAAAATATATCAGTAAGGAAAATGGATATACACATGTCTTAGATGTCAAAAGCATTTTTTTTTTCTAATTCACCTAGAAACCTTTTTAAACCATCTTTTGCACCTCAGGACAGAATAATTACTCCTTTCCACATTGTTATTACTACGTAGGCTTGTTTTTCATTCAAATAAACTTTATTCAGCACTTATTTGTTCTGTGTGAAAACAGAAATGCAGAGATAAATCGGGCATGGATTCTTCTTCTCAAGATAGTCACAAAAGTCATATCTGAGAAAGGATGTATTTTTTTGGTTCTCCCACCCTTTTACCAGGAAATGTCAACCAGCCTGTACCAGCTTGACTTGAAAGATGAACCAAAACCCTAATGATACATAATGTTCATATATGTCCATGCAATTCTCTGTTCTATTCAGTAATCTGAGATGCATGTTGTTTGTGTGTCATCTCAAACACCCTGGCAATCATAAAATCATCTATCTATAGGAATGTTTCAAGTTGCATGTATTGTTGGTTCTTTTACAAAAAATAAAGCGGCACAATACCATGCTATCCTTTGAAATCGGCATGATAGTGGATACAGCTTGGCAGTTAAAAGGTTGTCATTCTTTTATGTCAACTCGTTTGGGTTTCAAAATTCACTCCTCCACTATCTAGATGTGTAATCCCTATACCTTAATTTCTTCATCTTTAGAACAATGTTGAAAATAATGGTACCTGTGCATCATTCTTGTTTTTATTATTTATGAGGACTAAAATACTCTGTATTAACTGTCATTTGGTGTGAGCTTGAAGATGATTATTTTTAATCACTTTCTCAGTAAGATTTATGTAACATTTTAAAATCTGTGGCTCTTTAGCTTACATTATTTAATTGACACCATCTGAAAGCCAAATCCATGGCTTACAGCTCTAGGGACATATGTTATCAAGGTCACGGAGCACCATTCATGAAAACAGTATGAATAGCACTTTCTGGAGTTGGGTTTCCTGATTCTTTGAAAACAAACCTCGGTAGGGACATTGGTGTTCTTACTTGTGAAGTAAGTCATGTGATTTGAAAATGTCAAATAGGTAATAATAGTAATTGCACCAGGTCACATAGTCAATAACTGGCAGAGCTAAATCCTCCAGCTTTTTTTTTTTTTTTTTTTTGCGCTGGATCTATTATTGCTCGAAGCTGTTTTGGGAACATTCTATTCTGTCATGGTGATCTTGTCATCATATAAATATTAAAACTCACCATTTTCTAGTTTAGTTGGCCCACATAAGTTATGCCACATTTTTGAATACTAGAAGTGTTTTCAGAGATTTAGAGTAGTCAAATAAGTCTTTAAATTCAAGAATATCTGGTTCTGGAGGATATTTTGATTTTTTACCTCCATTTGCTTGTGTATAATTACACTTGTAAAAACTGTCAGTGCATAGCTATTGATACATAAATAGGGGAATTTTTGTTTTATTCTCACTTAGCTCATCGAAAACAGCAGTTCTTAAAGTTGCCTTTGCCCTGACACTTCCTCGTGAGTTCTTCAGCTGGTTTGTGAACTCATCTTATATTTTGGAATATGGTATGGTAGCCAACATCTCCACTTCTGGGAATCAAAATCATGGGGCAACAGGTCCAGTGTAAGGTTCTGCACTATGGCATTAGATTCAGCTCAAAAGCAATGGATCAAGGGAACCTCTGAAAGTCAGTGCACAGACTCTCCTGTTATCCTCTGGAGGATTTGCTAGAGAGAGAGCCGTAACCCAAGAGACGGGCTTGTCAAAGGAGAGCAAGAATTTTTGAACCAGAAGGTGAGAGACAGATCTTGGGAAAATTCCCTGTTTCCAGTGAAAGGTGTAGCTGCTATGACTATTTACAGGATGGCAAGAGTCTCACAAATCGTCAAAGTGTCATTAAGAGCCTCAGTTCTACACACCCACAGGGCAATATTTGTACATATATCATTTTACCATACCTTGAAACAGGCTGTCCTTTGAAATACATCACTTAAGAGCATGAATTTCACATCACTTATATGCCACATGTGATAGGCTTAATATCTTAATAGGAGGATATTTTCATTCATGACCCTCTTAGGCTTTCTGAAAAATCCTGTGACTAAACTTCTCCTATGGGGTAAGTGACTCATTGAACAAACATACAAATGCACAACACACAATAAATGCTGAGTAAACTCTTTGTATGTTTATTGTTTCAGCCTGTTTAAAGGAATTCCTGTTATTTGAAATATAATTAATGTCCGGTATGACACACAGAATTTCCAATGTCTCTTGTGGCACTGTAGTTTGAGTTCATCTGGTCTTCTGAGAGTTTCAAATATAATTATTATAAATATCAAAAGGAAGATAATCTATAAAGAGATTAACCATTTGACACTTTTATTGAGGAAAATATTAAGCAACAAGGATTCCCACTCCCCGCCAAATCACTGAAATATTTTAGGTAACGACTTGGCCGTGCATGGTGGCTCATGCCTGTAATCCCAGCACTTTGGGAGACCGAGGCAGGCATATCACCTGAGGTCAGGAGGTTGAGACCAGCCTGGCCAACATGGTGTAACCCCATCTGTATTAAAAATACAAAAATCAGCTGGCATGGTGGCAGGTGCCTGTAATCCCAGCTACTGGCAAAGCTGAGGCAAGAGAATCATTTGAACCTGGGAGGCGGGGGTTGCAGTGAGCTGAGATCCTGCCACTGCACTCCAGCCTCAGTGTCAGAGAGAGACTCTGTCTCAAAAAAAAGAAAAAGACTTTATATACAATGTTATATATGTATACAAACACAGGAAGTAGAGAGAGATTAATGTGAGGGTGACAGAATAGCAGTTCTGCCATGTCAGTAGTATGTATTCATAATAACTGAGACGATAATGCCCACCTATAAATTACTACCAGGATGAAACAATCCAGTGCATGGAACACATCTAGCTCAGATTATAATACATTGGGTACAAAAGAAGGTCTTTAATATTGAATTTTTCTTCCTTATCTATTAACCGATTATGCATAATGTATTTCTGCTTAGCAATGCAAATATCTTTGCCCTGAAATGTCTGTTGACCAAAAATCTTTTTTCTTCTAGGTGTATTTTAGTTACTAGTACAACTTGTACAACTCTTTTCACAACAGAGTTACATTAGATCTTTTGCTTGATGTTTTTCTGTGGTTTGCACTGCTTGAAAAAGGGAACTCACCTCTTCTCTGGTATGTACTTTGCATTTTCTCCCAGTGATACGTGTGCAACCCAGAAATGAAGGTAACTTGCCTCAAATAACTGTAAAATGTATATTAGATATTAAATCTGTGAACTAACATGAAGTTTGGCAATAATGTTTTGATTGTCACCTATGTAATAAGCCACTGATAAAACCTGATAGCATGGTCCTTACTATAAACGGTTCCAAACCTCTTAACTATTGAGCAGTGTACAAAGATTAATGTAATATAACCTTTGCTGGCTGAACGTTATGTTCTCACACTAGGCTTATCACTCAACAGGGAACATTTCCTGGATGAGAGAGTACTTACATTAAAAATATATATATATACATATACATACGTATATACATATATTGTTCTTCCACAGTGAGGAAACTAGGTCACTCTAATTAATTAAAATTTTGATACAAAGAATTTATAAGATGAATGATAGATGTGAAATTTACTTTCTGTTTTCATAAAGCATCATTTTTGCTGTCTTGTTCTACAGTGAGCAATGGTTCTATGACTTAAAACACCAAAGTGATGATATATGATGATGTAGCTTATACATGTGTTTCTGTGCGTCTGACCTGAGAGAACTTTATATGGTTTTATCTGGAAATAGGAGATATAAAAATATTCATTAACCTGAAATACTATGTGGAATACTTAGATAGAGATGATGAATAGAAAACTAGCATAATTATTGTGGGGAAGGGAGTAGAAAGCATTAGAAGCTCTTACTTTCTGAATATAACACATTAACATATTCTCTAACTTTTAGCAAGGCACTTAATCTTTCAAACCTTTATTTTATGTTCAGGGGTACAGGTTTCTTACATAGGTAAACTTGTGCCATGGAGGTTTGTTGTACAGATTATATCATCATCCAGGTATTAAGCCTAGTACCCAATTACTTTTAGTTATTTTTCCCATTCCTCTCTTTTCTCCCAATCTCCACCCTCCCACTCTCCCCTTTCCCACCCCCTCCCATCCCCCACCACCCTTTCACTCTCCACCTCCCCCCACCCTCCCATCTCCCTCCCCCACCACCCTCCCACCCCTCCCACCCTCCCACTCCCCACCCTTCTCCCTGCCACCTTCCACCCTCTACCCTCTCCCCCCGCCACCCTGCCACCCTCCACCCTCCACCCCCCACCCACAGGACCCTGTGTGTCTTGTTTCCCTCTATGTGTCCATGAATAACACCATTTCTAAACACCCCCAAATAACTGCATATTCTCAAAGCAACTATAATCTGAATATCACCAATTTTATTTGTAATCCTAGCTTTCCCAACCCCTCCTGTCTCCCAAAAGGCAAGACTCAACTATACAGGAAGTTCTAAAGTATTCTGGACAAGCCATGACTTAGCACTTGTTGCACCCTGTTTGATTTCTCTCCTTTCTCTGCAATAAACAATCATTTTTTCTGTGACGCTTTCTGAGGCCCCTAAGCCAACACTGATCCTCCGCACTTTCTTTTCCCATAGCACTCTGTTGACACTGCCACTAGGATTATTTTAGAGTATTCAAAAGTTGTAGCATTTGGAAATTAGTAGCTCTGGCTTCTGTAAGGGCCAGTGTCAAACTTTGATTAACCTTTTTTTAGTATTCATCTCATCAGCTTTGATAGGAAGTTCCACAGTAATCCATATTAAGTCCAGCACTCTTGTAACACCTTCACACATGTTCTATCAGATAAATAATAGATGCAGTGAACCTATGTAAGAATGCCTTTGCTTGTGTCACTTACAGGCCCATGGATCAGTGACATGTTTCTTTCTAGTATGTCCCGGATCCATGTGACTATAACTGCTGTAGCATTGCCACATGCTTCGTTATTATCATCTGCACACTGCAGAAAAGGAAATAGATGTTTTCATTAAGCTTTTATTTCAGAACACACGTACAGAAAGCCTTCACTCATAAAGTCAAGTCACACATACGCTATGATATGACAGAGGGTTTGAATGGTTTGTATTTTTTCATAAATGAACTAAGGATAATTGAGGTAAAAGATTAAGAATGACTTCTGAGAACACTAAATAAGGAGAGAATGAGGCAAAACTCTATCTTCCTTTTTTCTCTCTCAAGAGTTCTTCAGCTGCTGTAATCAAGGTTATGAAGGTTTTCCATTATACTATAATACAACACTCCCTCCAGTCATCTGTTAAGAAAAAAGAGGTGTAAAAACTGACAGATAATATTTAGACATAGTCTAAAGAACAGAATTCAGCTTTTAGCTTTTGTTTAGGGGTTTTGTTTGCTTTTTGGTGTCTGGAGTTTTTGTTTTGTTTTTTAAATTTCCCTCCACACATAACATGTGGTTACATAATCCAAAAGTCTAGGTTTGAATCTTGATTCTATTGCTCACAAACGAACTGCCCTTGACAAAATCACCTAATTCATTGAGCCTTAAGTCCTCATGTATAAAGTGGTCATAATAATAATACCTAACTGAAATGAATAAGGTATGCTTATTTAATAATTTAATGATGACAATTAAATCCGCTACATTTTAGAAGTGCTTCTAAGGATGGTTTCTGACACATAACATGTTCTACATATGTATTTTTAAATGAAAATATAAATGTAAATTGATACATTTGTTTTATATGACTAAAATAGGACACATTTCTTAGATATTATTCTTACTGACATTTCAAGGCAAAAAGTAGTTTAGAATGTCTTAAAAAAAAGAATGTCTTATAATTAATTTGGAATATAAATAAGTATAAAGATTTAAACTGTAAAAGTCCCATCAATTGAAGTCAAGTAATGTTACCGCTATAATTGGGAATACAGGCAAAAGAGAAAAGAAAGAAGAAACGAAGGGAAAGAGATTAACAGAGAAAAGAGGGAAAGATAAATGCAGAATGAAGACAGAGAAAGGAAAGGAGGAAGGAAGGGAGAGAAAGAAACAAGATCAGCCGGGCACGGTGGCTCACGCCTGTAATCCTAGCACTTTGGGAGGCCAAGGCAGGCGGATCATGAGGTCAGGCGTTCGAGACCAGCCTGGCCAACATAGTGAAACCCCATCTCTACTAAAAATACAAAAAATTAGCTGGGCGTGTTGGCGGGCGCCTGTAATCCCAGCCACTCAGGAGGCTGAGGCAGGAGAATTGCTTGAACCTGGGAGGTGGAAGTTGCAGTGAGCCGAGATCGAGCCACTGCACTCCAGCCTTGGCAACAGGACAATGTGAGACTCTGTCTCCAAAAAAAAAAAAAAAAAAAAGAAACAAGATCATGTCCTTTGCATGGATATGGATGGAGCTAGAGGCCATAATCCTTAGCAAACTAATACAAGAACAGAAAACCAAACACTGCCTCTGTTCTCACTTGTAAGTGGAAGCTAAATGATGGGAACACATGGGCACATAAAGGGAACAATACACACTAGGGCCTATCAGAAGGCTGAGGGTGGGAGGAGGAAGAGGATCAGAAATAATAACTAATGGGTACTAGGCTTAATATTTAGGTGATGAAATAATCTATACAACAGGCCTCCAAGACACAAGTTTACCTATGTAACAAAGTTGCACTTGTACTCCTGAACTTAAAAGTTAAAACAAAGAACACCTAATATTCCTGAAAAAGAAAGACAATCCTGAAAAGTGACATGATGAGTCAAATACTCAAGTTGCCATAAATTTTATAAGTGTTAGAAAAGCTTTATAGTAAGCAATTTATGATCTGAAAACAAATTATTTATTATAAGTATTAGAATGCAATTTCAAATTACTCCACCTACTTTACCTGTAATTGGATTTTCAATATTCAAATAGTCTATTTTAAAATGTTCTATATTAATTGTCTATACAAAAGGAGGAAAGAAAATTGAGAGATTGTTAATGTGGTTTTTATAATGTATGAATTAATTAGATGATTTCATAAACCCTTTTTGCAAAGTTAGCTTTCTCTTGAAACACATAAACTTTTGAAAAGTCCATAAGCATTAATTTGTGACTTACTAATATAAATTATTCTAGTGAAACCTAATAGGTCCTACTGAGTACTGTGGAATTATTCCTTACTAAATTATATATGCAAATTTTCGACAGTGTAAATTGAGCTATTTCTAAGGCACATTAAAAATATAAATAATTGTTTTGCATTTTCAAAGGTCCTTGAATATCTCTTGATTTTGCTTTAAAAGACTGCATTTGAAAATTATAAATATCATAATTAAGGTAATAAATATGACATTATGGCTGGGTGTGGTAGCTGATGCCTGTAATTCCAGCACTTTTGGAGGCTGAGGTTGGTGGATCACTTGAGGGCAGGAGCTTGAGACTAAACCAGCCCGGCCAACGTGGTGAGACCCCATATTTACTAAAAATACAAAAATTAGCTAGGTGTGGCGGTGGTCGCCTAAAATCCCAGCTACTCAGGAGGCTGAGGCAGGAGAATTGCTTGAACCTGGGAGGCAGAGGTTGCAGTGAGCCAAGATTTGTGCCACTGTACTCCTACTCCAGCCTGGGTGACAGAGCAAGTCTCCAGCTCAAACTAAATAAATAACAAACATGCCATTTATATGTGTATAAATTATATTTATAAGCATTTCTATAGTCAAATATCTAAATGTTGAGAAAAGTAAAATAGCTCAGAATAGCATGAACTATGCGAGGTATGCAGGCCCAGAGAGATATGAGCGTGGGACATCAGTCATGCCTTCACCCTCCAACACTCCACATCCCAACCCCTGCACCCACGTCTGGGGGCAATTATTTCAATTCATTTTGTTCCTGATTAGCTGCTTCACCCCTTATCCTCTTGTTTCTGGAATTTCTGATATAGAGAACAACGTATAGCTAATCAATAGCTTAAGCTATTTTTATGTAAATTCTTAGTAAACAATTCAGGAACTGCCTCTTTCTCCTAAAAAAAAAAAATCACCAACTATAGCATGTTCTCACTTATAACAAGGAGCTAAACATTGGGCACTCCTCGGAACAACAGACACTGTGAACTGCTAGAGGACAGAGAGAGGGAGGGCACTGTGGGCTGAAAGGCTACCTATTGGATATGTAAACCAAAAATAAAATTCTAAGGCCCCCAGTCATCTGAATAGACCCCTCTTCTCAGCCAAGGGCATTCCGAAGGTAACCTGAAAATATGCCTTGTTACCACCAATGCAGACCTCAAGACCAATAGAAGTGACTCTTTAAGTTCCATAAGAAACATTTACAATCTATTCTCTCTGAATCCTGCTACCTTGAGGTTTTGTCTGCATGATCAAACCTTGGTCTCTATAACCCCTTATCACAAACAAGATATTCCTTTCTATGCATTCCAGGTCTTTAGATAATAACCAATTGCCAATCAGAAAACCTTTGTATCCACCTATAACCTGGAAGAACCCCACTTCCAGTTTGGAAGCCTCCCACTTCCCCCACTTCCAGTTCCACGTATAACATGGAAGTCCCTCACTTCACCTTTTCAGACTGAACCACTATATACCTAATACATATTGATTGATGTCTCATGTCTCCCTAAATGTATAAAACCAAGTTGTAGCCCAACCACCTTGGGCACATGTTCTCAGGACCTCCTGAGGTTGTGTGATGGGCATGTCCTTAACCTTGCAAAATAAACCTCTAAATTGATTGAGACTTGTCTTGGATACTTTTTAGTGTAGAAGTGCCAATATGGTTTGGCTGTGACCCACCCAAATCTCATCTTGAACTGTAGCTCCCATAATTCCCATGTGTTGTGGGAGGGACCCAGTAGGAGATAATTGAATCATGGGGGCAGTTTCCCCCATACTGTTCTCATGGTAGTGAAAAAGTCTCATGAGATCTGATGGTTTTATAAAGGATTTCCTCTTTTGCTTGGCTCTCATTCTCTCTTGCCTGCCACCATGTAAGATGAGCCTTTTGCTTTCTTCCATTATTGTGAGGCTTCCCTAGCCATGTAGAACTGAGAGTCCATTAAATCTCTTTTTCTTTATAAATACCCATTCTCAGGTACGTCTTTATTAGCAGCATGAAAACAGACTACTACAGGTGCTATGCTTACTACCTGTGTGATGGGATCTGTACCCCAAACCTCCACATCACTTAATATACACATGTTTACAAACCCGCACATATACTCCCGGTATCTAAAATGAAAGTTGAAATTATTAAAAAAAAGAACACAAACACTTGTAGCTGCCACAAATTGGAGTGTACATTTAGGAAAACTTGAATCAATGCTCCCAGGTTGTAATCTTCAAGCTTTGCCCAGATAAACACTCCATTAATTTCACCTCAGTTTCTTCTTTTTAGGTCAACAATGTCTAACATGAGAAACACTATAGCCAATTCATTATAGTTTCTACTATATTTGCCAATGAATGTTTAGATTTCGCATATTTATTGATAATTACAATTAAATCATTAAATTACATGAAAAACATGTATATCATAAACAAACTGATTTATGATATACATTTCATATTTATGAAGAATGTTTCTCATAAAATAATTACAGAACGATATTTTAGAATATTATAGAACACAAGATTATAGAAAATATAATATAGCTTAGCCTATCAAGGGCAAATTTATATCCAAAAGAATCCAAATGTTATAGATAATTTTACCAACAACATTATGTGACTGAACTAGCTCGAGAACCAAATTTCACTTTGTGTTTCCTAGTATGCAAGAGAAATGGAAAACAGGATGGGTTATGAAATTCTACTTACTAATAAAATGAAGCATATGTATTGATAAGGAAAGCAAATGTTTTTTAATGACTAAATTGATAACAATGAATACAACTAAGAACATTGCCTTCAACAATGGATAGTCTTATAACTCATTTCCACAGAACTTTTGAAAAAGTCAATGTTATAACAAATGACTAGTGAAAGTGTGTGAAGGGTTATACTTACATAATAAAATGGCTAACATTTATTAAGCTCCTATGGTGTGGGAGCTCTTGAACCACTTAAAGTATATTCACCTCTTTAAAGCCAATGACAACCAAAATAGGTACTACATGGCATTCACTTATTCAACCAAACATACTGAATACTTATTTTGTTTCAGGCACTCAGGACTTATAAGTAAACCAAACAGCAAAAAGCCTTGCCCATCATTTAAAATAAAATAGCTGAGACTTAAGAGGCTATGAAACCTAAGGTCATAGAGCAAGTCACTTGGTGGAGCCAAGGCTTGAAACTAGTAAGATTGCTAGCCCATGCTCCTAAATGTTAAGTCAGATGTGCTTTCAATATGTAAATACATATCAGGTTTTTTTAGTAAATGTATTTCAGATGATCCAAGATCAGAATTCTTTCTGACCAAACAGGAGGGTATGTCACCAGTATGAGGGGAAAAAACAGCGGGAGAAGGCCAATTTGGAATGAAAATAATCTCCTAGAAGCCAAAAATGTTAATTATCCCATTTATTATTTTTTTTTTCTCAAACATCTACTGGATACCTACTCTGTGCTATGCACTGTTACAGACATCAGAGAAGTGTAAATAAATAAGATGTAATGTTTGCCTGCCAACAGCCACAGTCTTGTTGGTTGGGGTGAAAGAGATCAGAATATGCTACCCCAAAATATGCCACTTTAGCATAAGGAGTATTTTAAGCTGAAGGCAATTAGAAATAGCAAACACAAGATGAACTGTCTTCAGCAAGGCATGAATTTTCTGGTTGTAAAGGAAACTTATACCTGTAAAGGTGTCCTACTTTCTTATATCAGGGAGAAGTGAATAAGTCACCACCTGAGATGCCTTAAGGTTGCATAACAAACCTTACTAAATAGCCCTTATTTACTACACATTTCCTAGTCATTTTCCCACAACCTACTCCGGCCACCCAGGGATTAAACCCTCCTTTTCTTTATCTAGTCTCTTCCCCACACTTTATCACACTTTGTTAAAATGGGATACAGGGCCCGGGTCCAACTGCCTCTTTGGGGTATTCCTTGCTTTTATGTGAGCTGCCCCTGTTCCTCCCCAGCCCCTACACATCAAATAAATATTTATTCTTGATAATCTCTCTTTTGTCAGTATAATTCACAGGCCTCAGCCACTGAACCTAAGAAGGAAGAAAAATGCTTTTTTTTTTAATTTTTTTTTTCCTCCACCAGACAGAGGCTCAGCAGGTTTAAAGTCCATCAAATTAGGATCAATACTGGTTTTACTACAGAATGTTTGGAATCTTAAACAACTTATTAGCCCACCTCCATTTTCTTATTTCTAAAATTAGATAAATGCTATCTACTAATACTTCAAAATATTACTAAGAAAGTACGTAAGACACTACTTATAAAATGTCTGACACATAGTTGCTAAGTAAATAGCACTTTTCCCCATACTCCTATGTATGTTATTTCCATTAAACTCTCTAAGGCAGTTCTGAGGTCTTGAAAGAGCACTAGAACTTAGATTTTTGAAGATTTTAGAAAGTTTCCTTTGAATCTTGGTCATGTTAGTTTAGTAGTTGTAGCTGATAGTTACTTCATGCATTCATTCAGTCAGTCTTTCATTACGCAAATGTTTATTAAACAACTACGATTTGGTGACATCATGCTAAATATCAGGGAATGAAATTTAGCACCTCTGCCAGGGACGAACTAAAAGTATTCATAACAGTAAGTACATAAAGGTTTTAGTAGGGTTATGTACAGAATGTAAGTAGGACACACTCTGACTGGCTAATTTGATCTTGGGTTTGTTTGTTTAGAAATTAGTGCTCCAGCAGGTGCAATGGCTCATGCCTATAACCCCAGCACTTTGGGAGGCTGGGGTGGGAAGATCTCTTGAAGCCACTACTTTGAGACCAGCCTGGGCAAATCAGCAAGACCTCTATCTCTAGAAAAAAAAATTAAGAATTAGCTGAGCATGGTGCTCCACTGCAGGTTTGGAAAGGATGTATGGACAAAGGAAAGCTACATAGAGAAAACGGAAGTGAGGCACAGAAACAGCCAGATTGGTTACAGCTGGTGTCTGGCTTATTCAAACACAGTTTGAACAGGTGGACCCTGTGTGTGATTGAAGTATGGTTGTCGTAATGGGATGAGACTTGGCTACTTGTTACAAGAGTAGGCTATACTCTGTTTACACATCCAGTTAGGTTACAGTTCACTATGTATGGAAAAACCTTTAGGCCAAACTTAAAACACATAAGACAGCATCTTTAGGCTAAACTTAATTCAACATTTCTGTTTCGTTTCTGGCATAACTATTATATATAGAATGTAAATAGTTCTAATATATTTTAAGTGTTTCTTTATGTATGACATATTATGAGTGAACTTTAGTTAAAACTGAAATGAACATGGTAATGAGAAAAATTTACACACAAGTGATTTTGAAAACAGAATGGATTGCTTACAAATTACAGGAAATGTTATAACACAAACCAGAAGAATTCAATGGAAGGCAATAAGGGATTCTGAAATGAAAATTATAAAAGTATCAAGACCAATGAAGGTTATTTGAATATCAAAGCTATTATGCATGAATCTATGATTCTGAACTAATGTAACAAGAAAAACTACTATCTTAAAATTTATATCATTTAATGGAAAAAAAATGAGAAGTAAACCAACCAGGAAGAATTTTGATAAGAAAAAAAATTGCTGAGCAGTAGGTAGTAACCAAATCTATAATGATAGTTTTAAGTGGAAAATTACATTTATTGCCTTAATACATTTAAGTTACAAAATAAAATCAAAGCCCAATAAAGAATATTGGTCCTATCTTATAGAAACATGAAGACACAAAAACAAATGATTCTAACACAAATATGAGATTGCAATTGTACACATTAAAACAAAAATATAAAATAAGTTTTGAGAATAATGTGTTATGATTGTTTGGTTATTTTATCTTTCTAAAGACACATTCCAACATTACAGTGCATTGTACCTATTTGAGAAATACTAAAACTATGGCTTTTTACTCTTAGGGATCTTGTAATCCATTTGAGTGTAATAATAAGACTGACAATATTAGTGACACAGTTTGTTTTCAAAAAGGAGGATAACCCGTGTTCCCATTCCAAGTGGTTTTTTGTGATGTGACTTTGCCGTGTTTCTCCTCTCCCGCAGTCTCACATCTTTAATCTACACTGGTCCTATGACTTGTTTTGGCCAAGAGAATGCATGCAGATGCAGAGATGGCACTGAATGACTTCTATAGGCATGAGCTTTAAGAAATTTTAAAGCTCCCGTTCTCACCCTTGGAGCTGTGTCTTTGTTCACAGATAACATGATTGTCTATGTAGAATTACTCGAAGGACAAGGAAACAACTCCTGGAACTAATAGAGAACTGATTTTGAGATGTGTGTAAGAATAAGAGAAAAAGGGAAGCAGTGAGGGCTATTTCAACTAAGAAAGATTTGCTGAAGAGTGAACGGTCACTGCGTTTTGGAATGGTTATGTTTCACCAGGATGAGAGAGAGCATCTCTGATGGGTGTGTGCAATGTGGAGATAACCTCAGATAAAATGAGAATACTACTAGCCGGGTGTAGTGGCTCATGCCTGTAATCCCAGCACTTTGGGAGGCCGAGGTGGGTAGATCATGAGGTCAGGAGTTCAAGACCAGCCTGGCCAAGATGGTGAAACCCCGTCTCTACTAAAAATACAAAAATTATTTGGGTGCAGTGGCAGGCACCTGTAATCCCAACTACTCGGGAGGCTGAAGCAGGAGAATCGCTTGAACCCAGGCGGCGGAGGTTGCAGTGATCTGAGATCACAACATTGCACTTCAGTCTGGGTGACAGAGTTAGACTCCATCAAAAAAAAATAAAAATAAAAACAAAATAAAAAAAAGAAAAGAAAAGAAAGAGAATACTGTATCTGTGGATTGGTAAAAATATTTTGACTAAAATGGAAGGAGAAATATAAGGCTAAATTATCATTATCTTTATTTTTATTCTGGTTTAGGCATTGTCCTGAAGGCTGTATAGGAATTATTTAACTTATTTATCACAAAATTTTTGAGTTCACAATTATTAGACTATCACTTTTATGTATGGGAAATTTGAAGCTTAGAAAGTTAAGAACCCACAGAAATCATTCTCTGCGTAACTAGTGGAGCTCCAAATTCTAACCCCAATTATGGTTTAGGCTTTACACAAGCAGTGATTTTTACAGGGTTGCTTTTGTATATGTGTGTCCGTGTGTGTGTGTGTGTGTGTGTGAGTGACAAAAAAAGAGAGAAACAGGGAGACAGAAAAAGAAAGAGACAGAGGTGGGATAGAGAGAAATAGTTTAAAGGAAGAGTATGATAGCAAAGACAGAGACTAAAAGTAGCTTGCCTCTTATTTTCATTCCTTTCCAAAGTCTAGGTATATAGACCTTCACACAGGTGATGGGTCTTGGGAAACCTCCTATGTAACTCATGGTGGCCTCCAGGAGTAGACTAATGACTTCACTGTCTAGAGAAAGAGGATACTAATCAGTTACTTTTGTTTTGTTTTTACAGTTTAAGAAGAAAAGTCTCTTAATGTAATGAAGACATTTCTAGAGAGAAGGGTTGGGAGTTTTCTAACTCTGAGATAAGCTGTCCTGGTCAAGAATTTGAGGAGCTGGATGGCACCTTTGAAGTTCGTTGTGTTTATAAACTGGGAGTGCTAGGTCCTAAGAATTACCACTATTGAAGTGAACAGGTGGAAACTGTATAATTAAACTTAATATTAAGGGAATGGGGTTGCCTTCTCTCAAAACTCTTGTACATGAATAAGACAGGGATCTTAGGAATAGAAAAGTGTAGTCTACCAGACTGGGCGGAGCAAAGCCTCAGTTGCCAGTGTGGGAGTGGCTAGCTATGACTATAGTGAGAATGGTCCTCTCACTCCAGTCCTTCCCTTGGCTGTGAAAGATGGACTGCTCCCTCTGGCTTGGAATTGTGGCAGTACTGGTCTCCTTGTGTAATTGAGAGTGATGGGATCAACATAGACATGTGGAATATCCTGTTAAGTTGAGACGTGAGAATATACTCATTCTGAGGAATACATTAAAGTGGATTGCTTCTATTCACTTCCCAAGTTTGTGGAAAAGTCTCTGTTTTATTATGAAATAAAGCAGTTAAAGTATATTTTTTAATCCGAGTCTGTCTATAAGACTATAAACAGGGCAGAATTTTAAAACTTTTTTTTTGCTAGAGTTCGCACATCTAGAAGTGAGAGTTTTGTTTTTTTCCCTTAGCTTCTATTTTAGGACTATCTCTGGCTACGTTCTTCATAAACAGAAAAAAAGTCCATGGCATACGCTGGAATGAGGTGCAGGCAAAATTGCCAAAGTGGACCCCTAGGTCAACGTTTAGTTGCTTCTTTAGGTGACTATGTCTACAAGTGATATTCAAAGATGGGGTTGGTCCAAGCAGTATGTAACTAATGCTATGTTCTTAGCAGATGTTGCCTGGGGAAAACTAAAAGACCTGAAATTTCTAGTTACACAAAAAGAATGTACTTGGCCTAGTAGTATCTGGTTCTTCCTAAAATATTAGCTTCTTAAAAAGAAACAAAACTACACTGAACAAATACATACACTAAAATATCAAAAAGGACAGACAGCGGGCCTTTATACATATTTCTTTAAAAGGCCTATTATAGATTGAATTCTCTTTGAACAAAACATTAATGTATGTTCTTTTACAGATTACAAAATTTGATTGCTCTCCAGAGAGTTTGAAAGGAAATAGCTACTAAAAAGCTGTGTTCATTGCTTTTTGTCCTCAGAATCTAAGATAAAGAACATGAAAAAACGGTTAAATTAGAACTCCAAATTTGCTTAGTAAAATGTTGTAGTACTTACACTAAAGTTTAAAAAAAGGTTGAAACAATTTTTAATACAGTGCATCAAATTTCCTTAACCTCTTTTAAATATCCAGTTCCTAGTTGGAGGGAGATGTTTTGACCTTCATATTGCTGCCCCAGAATTACACTTTTGAAGTGTGATCCATATAGCACTGCTGCTCCAAAGGAGTCCTTTAGGTATCTACGGGATGTTCAAAAACCAAAATTACCAAAGTTGGATAAATTTTAAAAAGCACATGTTCTGAAGTACATTTCAATATATACTTAAAACACATAAAGTAAAATCCTAAGCAACAGAATTTTTGCATTTGTTTTTGGCATGAGATTGGTTACACGCAATTGATGTTATAACAAAGTTATATTTAAATAAATATGCTTCTTAGACTGTCTCCTGTGTATATTACTTAATCCTTATCTGCTATCAAAAGAAAAATTCTAAGAGTGGGTAAAGAAGTCTGAAATTAAATAGGTTTCTATTCAGATTTGTGTCAAACTACTGCAAAATCTCCATGTCAAAGTAAATAGAACATACTAATGGAGAAGGTGGGCTTACTGCCTGTTCTTCAAACTGCTTCTACTACATCCCAATAACTCAATTTCAAGGCTTTGAGAACAAAGCCACTGTGCAGTCAAAGTGGCTATGAGAGATGAAAGTTGTCATAAAGTTTCTGAATTTTTTAATTAGTGGCATAATTAACCCTTACGTTTCTTAAGTTTTCCTGAATCATTCAAAATATATTATCAGGAAAGTATTATTGTATCCATTTATTTGATATTTATAGAATATGCAGGAACAGAAAAATATACTTTCAGGTACACATGAAATATTTAACAACATAGACCATATTCTGAGACAAAAAATGAATTTGAAAAGAATTAAAATGATTGAAATCATACAATATGGGCTAACTAGCAATAAAGTGAGAAAGAAAACCCAAATAAAAATCATAAATGAAAAAGGAGGCATCATAACAAATACCACATAATACAAAGGATCACTAGAGACTACTATGAACAACTATACACCAACTGAAAACCTAGTTGAAAACCTAGAGGATGTGGATAAATTCTTAGACACATAACTTACCAAGATTGGACCAGGAAGAAGGAGAAAACCTGAATAGACCAATAATAAGTAACATGATTGAATCAGTAATAAAAAGTCTCACAAAAAAGAAAAGTACTTAACTGGATGGCTTCATCACTGGATTCTATTCAATCTATGAAGGAGAATTAATACAAATCATTCTCAAACTATTTCAAAAAATTGAAGCCGAGGGAATTCTTCCAAACTCATTCTGCAAGCCCAGTCTAAATCTAATAACAAAACCAGATAAGGACACACACACACACACACACACACACACACACACACACACACACAGGAAAATTACAGGCCAATACCTCTGACAAATACAGATGCAAAATCTTCAAGAAAATACTAGCAAGCTAAATCCAGCACAGATCACAAAGATAATACAACATAATCAAGTGGCATTTATGCCAGGAATGTGAGGATGGTTTAATATACACAAATCAATAAACATCATACATTAAATCAATATAATTAAAGACAAAAATACAATCATTTTGATAGATTCAGAAAAAACATTTAATACAATGTAATATGCCATTATATTAAAAATCTCAATAAAATAGGTGTAGAAGGAAATTACCTCAAAATAATAAAAGGCACATATTACAAACACACAATTAACATCACACCAAAGAAGCAAAAGCTAAAATCTTTTCCTCTCAGAACTGGAAAAAAGACAAAGATGCTAACACTCACCACTTGCACTCAATATAGAACTAGAAGTCCCAGCCAGAGCAATTGGGAAATGAAAATTAAAGGGCATCCACATTCAAATGAATGAAGTGAAATTGTTCCTGTCTGCAGATGACATGATCCTATATATAGAAAAACCTAAAGATTCTACTGAAAAACTCTTAGAGCTGATAAACCAATTCAGTAAAATTGCAGAATAAAAAATCGACACACGAAAATCCATAGCATTTCTATACACAAGCAACAAACTAAAAAAAAGAGATCAAGAAGACAGTCCAATTTATAATAGTGTACAAAAAAAAAAAGAGGAAACCTAAAAGTGAATTTATCCAAGGAGGTACAAAACCTTTAAAAGGAAAACTGCAAAACACTGATGAAAAAACTGAAGAGGATACAAATGAACAGAAAGATACATCATACTCATGTATCAGAAGAATTAACATTGTTAAAATGGCCATACTATCGAAAAGAATCTGTGGAGTGAATGCCTTCTCTATAAAAATACAAACGACACTCCACAGAAATAGAAAAAAAATCCTAAAATTTGTATGAAACCACAAAAGACCCAAATAGCCAAATAAATCCTGAACAAAATAAATATGGAAGCATCATATTACCAGATTTAAAAATATACTACAAAGCCATAGTAACCAAAACAGCATGGTACTGGCATAGAAACATCTATAGGCTAATGGAACAAAATACAGAATGCAAAAACTAATCTGTGTATCTACAGCCAATTGATTTTTTGACAAATGTACTGAAAACACTAATTGAGGAAAGGACAGGCTCTTCAATAAATGGTACTGGGATAACTGAGTATCTCCTGCAGAAAGTAACTAATCCCCCACCTCTCACCACATACAAAGCTCAACTCAAAATAGAACAAAGACCAAGATATAAGACCTGAAATTATAAGATCTCTGGAGGCAAAGAGCATAAATTCTTCAAGACACTGGTCTGGAAAATATTTTATGAGTAACAAAAAGTTCCTCAAAAGTACAACAACAAAAGCAAAAATAAACAAATGGTATCATATCAAACTAAAAAGCTTCTGCACAGCAAAAGAAACAATCAGACTGAAAGACAACCTACAGAATGAGATAAAATATTTGCAAACTCTACATCTGACAAGGGATTCACATCTAGAATACACAAAAAACTCAAACATCTAAACAGCAAAACAACTTGATTAAAAAATGGGCAAATGATCTGAACTGATGTTTCTCAAAAGAAGACATGTATATGCAACAAATGAAAAATGCTCAACACCACTAGTCCTCAGGGAAATACAAATTAAAACCACAATGTGATAGCATCTGACCCCAGTTAGGATGGCTATTATCAAAAAGACAAAACGTAACCAATGCTTGAAAGGATGTGGAGAAAACAGAACTCATATACACTGTTGGTGGGAATGTAAACTAGTTCAGCCAAAGTGGAGAAGAGTATAGAGGTTCCTCAAAAATTACAAATAGAACTATAATATGATCCAGCAATCCCACTACTTGGCATTTACCCAAAGGAGATGAAATGAGTATATCAAAAAGACATCTGCATCTCTATGTCTATTGCAGCACTATTCACAATGGCCAAGATACGGAATCAACTTAGGCGTCCAATAAGAGAAGAATGGATAAAGAAAATGTGGTGTATATACACAACAGAATACTATTTAGCCATAAACAAACAGTGAAATTCTGTCATTTGTGGCAACGTATATAGAACTAATAGATACTATGTTAAGTGACATAAGCCAGGAACAGGATCCTTAAACACTACATATTCTCACTCAAATATGGATGCTAAAAATAGCCGACCTCATAAAAGTAAAAAGTATAATAGAAGACACTAGAGGCTGGAAAGGGTAGGGAACAGGGAGAGAGAGGGAGAGATTTATCAAAGGATACAATATTACTGCTAGATGAGAAGAATAAGTTCTAGTGTTCTATACCACTTTAGGATGATTATAGTTAATAATCATATACTTTATAGTTTCAAATAGCTAAAAGGGGGATATTGAATGTTCCCAACATAATGTAATGACAAAGGTTTGAGATGATGGGTATGCTAATTATCCCATTCTGATTAATATACAGTATATGTACTGAAGCATCACTTTGTAATAATTTACATATTATACATAAATATTTTTATGTCAGTTTAAGACAATATAATTTTAAAAGTGTTATAAAATTAAAAATAGAAATCAGTTACAAAATGTATTTTTTTTTTTTTTTAATGAGACAGAGTCTCACTCCATAGCCCAGGCTGGAGTGCAATGGCACAGTCTCGGCTCACTGCCACCTCCGCCTCCTGGGTTTAAGCGATTCTCCTGTCTCAGCCTCCCGAGTAGCTGGGACTACAGGCATGCGCCACCACATTTGGCTAATTTTGTATTTTTAGTAGAGATGGGGTTTCACCATGTTGGCCAGACTGGTCCTGAACTCCAGACCTCAGGTGATCCACCCGCCTCAGCCTCCCAAAGTGCTGGGATTACAGGCATGAGCCACTGCACCCAGCCGAAATGTATCTTAAAAACCCCAAACATGAAAAACAAACAAAACAAAAAATTACAGAACAGACTTCTAAATTACCCAAGGGTCAAAGACATAGTCACAGGGAAATTATAACTTGAAAACAGATTAAAATAATAGAGAAAATAAGTGAAACTTAAAGCTGATTCTTTGTAACAATCAATAATAGTAATAAATCGTTATCCAGATTACTGACAGAAAGAGAGAGAAAGGAATGATAAATGTCAGGATAGCAAGACGCCGGGCGCGGTGGCTCACGCCTGTAATCCCAACATTTTGGGAGGCCAAGATGGGCAGATCACCTGAGGTCAGGAGTTCAAGACCAGCCTGGCCCACATGGTGAAACCCCGTCGCTACTAAAAATCCAAAAATCAGCCGGGTATTGTGGTGGGTGCCTGTAATCCCAGCTACTCGGAAGGCTAAGGCACGAGAAGCGCTTGAACCTGGGAGGTAGAAGTTGCAGTGAGCCAACATCTGACCACTGCACTCCAGCTGGGCGAGAGCAAGACTCCATCTCAAACAAAACAAAACAAAACAAAAAGGATAACAAGAGAGTACTATTAACCAATTTATGCTCCCCAAATTCAACAACTTGGATGAAGTCGACACATGCAAAGATACAAACTAATATTTACTGAAGAAGAAACAGCCTAAATAGTCCTATATCTATTTAAAAAAATAAATTATTGGTTTAACTTCTTGCAAAAAAGTAAACTTGAGGTTCAAATGACTTCAATAGTGAATTTTTTCCAACACTGAAGGAAGAAATATTACTACCTCTAAACAATCTTGCTAACAATAAAGAAAAAGAATTTCCAATTCATTTTATGAGCCACCATTAGTACATAGAAAACCTTGTGGAGAAATTATGTTAAAGAAAACTACAGATCAATATATTTCATGAATATGAATACAAAAATCCTTACATATCACATCCAGCAATATATAAAACATTTAGTGTATCATACCAAGTGGAGTTTTGTCCGGAATGCAGTGTTGATTTTATATTCAAAAACCAATCCATGGGGCTGGGCATGGTGGGTCACGCCGGTAATCCCAGCACTTTGGGAGGCTGAGATGGGCAGATTGTTTAAGGTCAGGAGATTGAGACCAGTCTGGCCAACATGGCAAAAACCCATCCCTACTGAAAATACAAAATTAGCCCGGCATGGTGGCACGTGCCTGTAGTCCTAGCTGCTCGGGAAGATGAGGCACGAGAATCACTTGAACTCCGGAGGCGGAGGTTGCAGTGACCCGAGATCATGCCACTGCACACCAACCTGGGCGACAGAGTGAGACTGTGCCAAAAAAAAAAAAAAAAAAAAAAAAGGAATTTATTGTAACAACAAACTAAGAAGAGAAAGTATATGCTCATCTTTACGCATGATAAAAATGATTTAACAGAATTCAATAGTCACTTATAATAAAAACCCTAGCAAACTGGTAATAGAAAAGAACTTCTTCAACCTGATAAACAGTATCTACAAAAGCCTGCAGGTAACATACTTACTGGGAAAAGACTGAACGTTTTTCCCCTAAGACTGGGAAGAAAGCAGGGAGGCTTGCTTTTACCACATTCACCTAGAGGTCCTAATCAATGTAATAACTCTACAAAAATAAATAAATAAATGAATAAATAAAAAATTGGGGCATATAGATTGGAAAGGAGCAAACATAAAATTTTCTTTATTCACAGTAGACATGGTGGCGTATATAGAAAATCCCAAACACTTTACAGAAAAGCTGCTAAAACTAGTGAGTATACCAAGGTCATAGGATACAAAAAGTATTCCATTATGTTTCTTTATATTAGAAATAACAATTCATGATCAAATGAGGGAAAAAGTACAGTTTAAAATACAAACAAAAATTAAAGCGAAGAAAATATATACAAAATATGTGGGCTTAAAAATGCAAAACATAAAAGAGATAAATTTAAAAGGCCTAAATAAATGGAGCTATATAATAGACCGATATTTGGGAAGACTCAATATTGTTAGATTGTCAATTATCCTCCAAACTGAATTATACATTCAATGCAATCTCAAATATGATCCAGCTATTCTAAAGGTTATATGGAAAAGCAAGGGATCTAGAATGGAATTAAAAAAAAAATGAGAAAGTGAAACAACTAAGGAGGACTCACATTAACTGATTTCTTTTTTTTTCCTTTCTTTTTCTTTCTTTCTTTTTTTTTTTTTTTTTTTTTGAGATGGAGTTTCACTCTTGTTGCCCAGGCTGAGGTGCAATGGCTGATCTTGGCTCACTGCAACCTCTGCCTCCCGGGTTTAAGTGATTCTCCTGCCTCAGCCACCCAAGTAGCTGTGGTTACAGGCATGCACCACCACAGCCGGCTATTATTTGTATTTTTATTAAAGATGGGATTTCACCATATTGGCCAGGCTGGTCTCGAACTCCTGACCTCAGGTGATCCGCCCGCCTTAGCCTTCCAAAGTGCTGGAATTCCAGGCATAAGCCACTGCACCCGGCTCTGATTTCTGTAGTTATTCTAATGTTATGCAATGAAGACAATTTGGTGTTTGCAAAAGGACATAAATATAGACAAAGGAAATAATAGACTAGAGTGTCTGGATACAGACTCGCAAATATAAGGTCAGTTGATTTCTCATGAAGGCACTAAGGCAATTAAAAGGAGAAAATATGGTATTTAAAAAAATGTTCAATTACATATGCATATGCAGAAAAAGACTCAACCAACTTAAAATGAATCATAGACCTAAATGTAAAATATGTAACTACAAAAATTATCAAAGAAAATGGAGGAGAAAATATTTGTGACATCTTTTACACAAAGATATTTTATATGGCATAAAAAATACAAACTGGTCAGGAAAAACACTGATAAATAAAAATTAAAACATTCTATTTGAAAGACCCTGTTAAAATATAAAAAATAAACCACAGTGTGGGGAAAATATTTGCAAAAAAACCTATATAATTAAGGACTGGTGTGCAAATTATGTATAATGAATATAATGAACTCAATAATAGAAAACAAACCAATAAACAAAACAAAACAAAACAAACTGGGCTGGGTGCAGTGGCTGACGCCTGCAATCTGAACACTTTGGGAGGCCGAGGTGGGCGGATCAACTGAGGTCCGGAGTGGAGGCCAGCCTGGCCAATATGGTAAAACCTCATCTCTGCTAAAAATAGAAAAACTAGCCAGGCGTGGTGGCGGGCGCCTATAATTCCAGCTACTCGGGTGGCGAAGGCAAGAGAATCGCTTGAACCCGGGAGGTGGAGGTTTCAATGAGCCCAGGTCGTGCCATTGCACTCCAGCCCGGGTGACAAAGAGCAAGACTCCGTCTAAAAAAAAAAAAGGAGAGAAAACGAACTGAACTGTCTTCCCCAAAGAAAAGATAAGGATGGCAGATAAGGATGGCAAACACACACATGAAAAATGTTCGGCATCATTGACCATGAGTGAATTACAGTTTAAAACTACATTAAAAAAACACTACACCTATGAAAATGGCTGTATTTAAAAGAGACAATACCAATTGCTGACAAATATGCAAAGCAGCTAAAACTTTTATATTTTTTGGCTAGAAATGCAAAATGGTATAACCATGTTTGTTATTTTCTCATAAAATTAAACATACAAAAATGAACATATACCATCCTACCCAGCCATTTACTCCAACATTGTTACCCAACAATAATGAATACATGTGCCTACACAATGATCTGTACATGGAAGCTTATTGCAGCTTTATTTAAAAAAAAAAAAGAAAGAAAGAAAGAAAGAAAAAGAAAAACTCTCCAATGTTCATCCCCTAGTGAGTGGATAAGCAAACAACTCTGGCACATACATAAATTATGATACAATGGAAAAATTCTCTGCAAAAAAGGGAACTACTGATACATGCTATACAACTTACAGTCTCAAGAGCATCATATTAAATGAAAGAAGCAGAAATAGCATGGGTACAAACTATATAGTTTCATTTATGTGACATTCTAGAAAAGGTCCAACTACAGAGACAGAAAGCAAAACAGTGGTGACCAGGGGTTAAGGATTGGGGGAGAATATTGATTACATCGGAGCATGGGGGTCCTTTTGGGGGCAGTGGTTACATGACTGCATACCTTTGCCAAAATTCGTAGAACCGTACACATGAAAATGGTGAATTTCAATGCATTAAAGTATGATTTAATGAACCCAATTAAAAAAAAAACCTAAAAGCCCTTAAGTATAGATGATTAAAATTAGTGAAAGTGTGGTTTCACCCAGGGCTGCCTGTGGATATATGAGCTAAAATGATAAAGTACCAGATACATGATTTTCAGGAAGAAATCAAAGGAGAGTGTGTTTTTGGGAGAAACCTTTCTGGAAACTGTCAACCGTGAGTGGAATGATGCTTAATGCCTCTGGAAAAATGCCAACCTCAGCACCGTGTGAATATCAGTAAGCCGATCAGAGCTGCTGAATCTTTTGGCCAAAAAACAAAGCTGGGCCTGTTCCAGTGCTTTTTACCCTGCATTTCCCATCCTTATCTCTGCACTTCAACCACTTAATCACAATCCTTCCACATTCCCCGCCTCACTTCTTGCTATGGTGAGGTGGCTAAGAGCCACGGAATACAAGGAAAGGTTGAGGGACTGGGTGTGTTCAGTCCATAAAAGAAATGATGAGTGAAGTTAACGATTCTTATTTTCAAATATGTGAAAGACTTTCAGTAAAAGATAAAAGATATAACATTTGTTTTAAGAAGCCCTTAAGTCATAATGAGGATTAGCAGGCTTAAATTATAGAGAAAAAAATCAGTTTAATATAAAGCGTTTCTAACCATTAGAGACATCTGAAAGATAGAATAACACCTCCCATTTATTGAGATAGTGTTATACGCATTATCTCTTTTAATTTTGTAACAACAGTGTGAAGTAGGCACATTGGAATTAAAACATCTGCTATTTATTGAGATAGCTGTTATACACATTACCTCTTTTAATTTTGTAACAACAATTTGAAGTACACATTACTATCTTAAAGGTATACACACTGAAATTTAGCTCGATGATATAAAATACTTAAGTTTATATAGTTAATGACCAACATAGTGAAGATTTGAACTCAGGTCTTTCTGACTTTGCTATCCCATCTTCCAGTTGGCTGCATGTGGGGATCCTGAGCTTCCCATCTTTGACTGTATGTAAGACCACTGGGTACCAGCTGACTGGTCTGTTTTATAAGGGATTCAATGGTGGATAAACTAGATATCATCGACATACTGCTTAGATATCATCCAATCATTAGATATTATGAGATTATTTACCAGTGAATTTTCTTACTTACATAATAAATGAATATGTATTGCCCTCCCTTATTACCATTCAAGTCTTTATTTCTCTTGCATATAAAAGAAAGGCATCCTCTTTATTACCCTAAATTACCAGAGGTATGTTCAGGTGAAAGGGATGACTTCTTAGTCACTAACAGCATAACCGTGCCCTTGGCAGTGTTAATGGAGTTTGCCAATGGGATAATCTGCTCTCATATGCAGATGCTGCTCCTGGCCCTCACTTGTAAAGCAGGCTGGCCAGCCGCCATCCTTCAGCACTGTGCCAACATCTGTGTGGAAGGAGGCACTTTTCCCTCCCCACTATGGAGTTCTTGCATATCACTCCAAAGGCTTAATTGGAGCACTGATGGATATTTATAAGAAAAGTTTGGAATCCTGAAAAGGGCTGATAAGAAACTCCTTTAATGTTCGTTTCCCACCTCATGTACTCATTTTCCTCAAAGTTATTAAGACGTGATGAATATATTTAATTCTTTTGGCTAGTTACCTTTTATGTTTTGTGATTAACTAATCTACTCTTTAAACACATTTTGTTATTTTTAGATGAGTGGTTTGGGAATCATAAAATTGTAAATTTTTAAGGAACATTAGCTGCCAACTAAACCATCTACTGCCTACTATGAGAAGCTCTTCTAGAGAATCCCTGAAAAAAATAGAATTAAACTTTTGCTCAAACACCCAACATATTAAAATAGCAGGACATTTTTGCCATGAGCTCTAGTTATGAGGAAGTTATTTTTCACAAATACCTAAATTTCATCTCCTAATAACTTCTATCATCTATTGCTCTCTGGAGCAACACAGAACTCCACTCTGCCTTTCCAAAGGCAGGCCTGAAAGTACTTATAGATATTAACCTTCCTTGACCATTTAAATTGGTTATCTCTATATATCCTGCCTAGACCTCTAACACTTAATCCCATTTGTGCTAGATGGTAACTAACTAACCTTCTAACATTCCCATAATCTTCTCTGCGCCCTTTTCTTTAATCACTGAGAATAAGAAAACTAAAATTTCTAAGACTCCCTTGCCAACGGTATTTCATCAGGTTTGGGGGTAAAATTGAAACCCAGAGAATAAACAAGGGATTGGGTTTCTGGCAGCAGCCACCAGAAGTACCCACGGTCAGTAGCAGGAGGTCCTGCAGCCTTAGTGGCTGCGGTGTCTCCAGTAGCTGCAGGGGAGGTGGCTGCAGCTCAGAGGCTGAGAGAGTGTGGGGTTCTAGGCTCCAGCTCAAAAACTACAGCACCTTCTAATCTCTGCCTAATACCACCTTTCCCCTTTTCCCTAGATCACATTTCTCTCCACCTGTAATCCATAGAGGCATTCGTTTTCTCGACTTGTACCCTGACGTAAGAACTACTGTTATTCTTTTCACACTGTGCATTGTGACAGTTTTCTGTGTCCACACACTTACCTCATCACTGGATCAGTCATGAGAATTATACTTAGCATTTGACTCATAAATATTAGGTATGAACATTTCTCATGAATTTGCATCATATCTCCCTTTAGCCTTCTCTGCTTTAGACTACATACTTCCAGTATATTCAATGTCCCTCATAAAGCATCAATTCCAAATGTTTCATCTTTCTGATCATCCTTTTCATGCCATTGTCTCCTGTTTCAATGTTTTTTTAAAATGTCCATGCAGAAGTAAACAAAACATTCCAGATATGGTATAATAACAAACTTCAAAATGAAAAGGATGAATATTCCTTTTAGCTGAATACTCTGCTTTCATTAATGCAAACTTCGTATTTTTTTTTTTTTTGGCAGAAATCACCTAACAGGCAAAACTCATATTAAAACTCCGTTCAAACACCAGCACTATAACTTAGCTCAGAATTCCACACTCTCAAAATAATTTCAGTTATTCCTTCTTTGATCTTTACCGTTTGTAAATTTAATGTGCTGCCATTCTATGCCTTCATTCAAGATATTGCAAGAATGTTGAATAGAAAATCTAAATGCAGAGGACGCTATGCAAAGTTGGTGAATCTAGCCTCAGTCTGAGCCATAAGTTAGAGGTACCATTATCACTCTCAACTTCATTACCCCCTTACACGGAATGTTCCCAACTCTCGATAGTTTCACTAGTTTCTCACTAGTCAACAGTCTAGAAATTTAAAAATTATTTTAAATATATTTATTGTACATGCATATATTTATACATGCTTGAATGTATGTTTTACAGGCTGAAATTTATTTTTAGGATTTGGCATTATTGGTTTTTTTAATGATGAACTTATTTTGTCAAAAAGAAAATAATCATAGTTACCACTTTTTTGTTATTGTTGATATTTAATAGAATTAAAATTCCTAGCTATTTTGCATTCTAAAAGGTTTCTTTGACAAATCTTTGCTTTTAAAATTAGACTCTTTTTGACAATGAAGATCATTGCTACAATGGATATATGGTTCATGGAAGTCCCTGCAGGAGGTCTGTACCTTAGATCTAAGAAATACAGTCCAAAATCCCAAAGAAAAAACAGTTATGGCAAAAAACTAGTAGTTTAGAGAACAAAACCAGTATTCAAAGATAAGAGGGTCAAAATCTAAGAGACAAAATTTGGTGTCCATGCAAAAGAATAGAGAGAGAAAGAGAGAAACAGAGAGACAGAGAACGACAGAGACAATGTGGTTAAAGAAATAAGAGAGCAACTCAGAAAACTTGTTTTTTGAAGTAGCTACTAGAAATAGCATCCTCCACCAGGTACCTGAAGGGAGGCAAAGAAAGAAAACCCAGGCCTTTTCTCTCATAAAGTTCATCAACTATTTGGAAATCTTTGATTGACTCACATGATAAGTTAAATCTACAAAAGCAAACTTTCCATATCAATGCGAGACCACATTAAAGATCTGTAAAGCAATGCCATAGAGGTAGGTTGGAATACCAAGTAAATGATAAACAGGATGAAAGCTCAGGAGAAGAATATGCCATCTATTGGTGGATTAGTTAAGGAACAGTTTTTGTTAGAAGTCAAGCCCAAATTGAGAATAAATGAGATCTTAATATGTGAGGCTGTGAGGATCATTTTAGTTGAGCAAGTATACATGTATTCACACACACAGAGAGAGCTACAGAGAGAGAGAGATGACAAAAAGATAATTGCATGTCTTCATTAGTAGCTTAATCTGTTTGCAGCAAAGTGATATCATATGAGTCAAAGTTGCAATGAGATATGGACAAAAAGAGGCATTGAATTGGGATCTCAATGTACAAAAAATTGTTTCTTCTAAAGGCTATGAGAAAATGTTGAGGCTTTTTAAATAGGAGATTGACATAATAAGCCATAATACTTTTGTTTTCTATCTTGATTAGTTCAGTCTTTTGGGCAATCATTCTAGTAGTAAATATTAATTGATTAAGGTGTTTATAATTTGCCTTTTGAAGTCAGAAATCAAGGAAAATATTTCAAGAATATTTTTCCAAAGTTGACATACTTTAGTCATCAATTCACAGAAGAGATCTGAGAGGTAAAGTCTTGGCAAAGCCTACCTAACGCCTTTAACAACAGCTGCTTTTGTGTTTCTTTCTCACATTGGCACACCTGTTAAGCCACTCAGCCCCTGTCTGTTTGGGAAACCAACAGACTGATCCAGCCTGGGGAAAGACAAAATCTCATCCGTATGCTTACAAGTGGCCATTTAGTAAAATGTGAAAGTAAATTGCCTCAGTTTTGTTTGCTGAATTTGACATGGATCAGTGACAATTTCTAACACTGAGCGGTTTCACAGATATACTGTTTCAAATTTTTGTTTTTAATACACCTGATTTCTTTTTTTTGTTACTTCTAATTTTCACGATTCAGTGATTTGAAAGATGAAATGAATAGTAATGAAGATGAGAGACAGTTTTACTTAGTTCCTTTGCCAGGTGAAATTGTTTGGAATGCAGAACGAGTGTGTGTGCAATGATCTTCACAGATGGAAAAGAAAGGGTAATAAGAGATGAACTTTGGCCTTCAGCCAAAAGACCATAAACGTTGAAACATGCAGAACCAGTCAGAATGATTGAAGGTTGTTTTGGTGGTTAACCGGGTTGCGGTTTTACTCTGTGGTTTGTCTTTAGCACGGGATAGTAAATTACAAATTTTTGAACACTGCCTGTTTGCTGTCTGTTTTTGAGAAATTATAACTGATAATAGACAATACAAAAGCATGACCTTGCTATGCTTCAGTGGAAATCACCCAAACAAAACCTATCCCATTTTTTTTTCCTATTTCTAGAGAGATGCTCAGAGAAGACAAGGAAAGAAAAGTACACAAACCATTGTCACATTAAATTTTATTTTATTTAATCAAGAGGAAATCATAGAATACTGGTCTTATGAGGATTCTACTTTACAATTAGCCATACATTCATAAGAGAGAGTTTTCATGGATATCTTTAAAAGGACTTCACAGATAAATAGAAAATCAAATAGCAATACATTTTCCAATACTATTTGTCAGAAACACCTGTTGTACTATATTAGACTCATTATTCATGTTCAATTTATTTTAAAAAGGTAACATGTAGGGAGATCAATTATTTACTGTATTCACAAGCATGGATGATAATTGGCATTTTTCTGTTTCCAAAAATGAAGTACACCTTAGAATGGAAAATATATTCATTATGGATGATTTTTGAAAGAATATATTTGTAGACAAAGCAAAACAAGGCATGATTTCAGGCACTGACAGTAATATTGAAAATAAAGATATATTTTTCTTTCTTTTTTTTTTTTTTTTTTTTTGAGACAGAGTCTCACTCTGTCTCCAAGGCTGGAGTGCAGTGGTGCCATCGCGACTCACTGCAACCTCTGTCTCCCGAGTTCAAGTGATTGTCTTGCCTCAGCCTTCTGAGTAGCTGGGACTACAGGTGTGCACCACCATACCTGGCTAATTTTTTGTATTTTTAGTAGAGACAGGGTTTTGCCATGTTGGTTGGGCTGGTCTTGAACTCCTGACCTCAGGTGATCCACCTGCCTCAGCCTCCCAAAGTGCTGGGATTACAGATATCTTTAAAAAATGTGACATATTCAGAGAATTATGTTCATTTCACGTATTGTGACTTATAACTTGAATATACTTAGTATAAACTAGGCTTATAAATTTATAATTATATAATCTATAAGTTAACATGCTATGTTGAGAGATATCATTACAGATTTCTCATGAACTTGCCTATTAGGTAAAAGGGATTTATTTTTTCTAAGAGATTATAGCAGAGTATTTAATTTTATAAAAGATCCACTTAATTTTCCAATTAAAATATCCATAAATGCATTTTGGATTTTCATCTAAGCTGCTAATAATATGATCTCATAACAAATGCCTAAAACTTACTTCAGAACTCATGAAAAATGACTTGTAATTGAAACTGCTTCAAAAGTACAAAAAATCCCTAAAATAACTGTTTCTATAACAAGCCAAAGACATTATTTCTTATAACTTCATACCACAATCATTTCATTCAGGAAAGTGATGTATTAAACAAATACAACATAAACATTAAATTATGCAACCAAATCACTATATGGGACTAAATTCAGCAACTGCTACAACCACAAATTATGCAGCCCCAAGTATTTTTTGACTATTTCTGTATATTACAGATACAAATAATATTATTCTTAATCTTTAATATTTATGTCATTTTGTCTAACTGCAATTGCTTTCATGTGAATTGTCTCATTTATTTCTGGGAAGCCAAGCTATTAGTCTACTTGTCTTTCAATAGAAAGGCACATTCTAGGGTGAGTAACAAGTGCTACCAACACCACACAACTCAATATAATGATGCAGACTAGGGAAACCACACACATTCATCAGTGTAAACACAGGTGACCTACGCATACCAGGCCATCTATCTGCTTGGAGCCGCTGTCCTGCTGAGACTGGCCCAGCTCCCTGACAGTAAATCTTTACGCCATTATTTTATCCTCTGTGGCTGACCAGACATCTCATGCTGTGAGGAGCCAAATGTTTATGTGCAAGGACATCGTGTCCATCATTGTTATTAGAGTTCTACCCCCATGCATTCGCAAGCAACATTAAAGACCAAATGGGTAAGAAAAAGAGCTTCTCCTGGGCCTCAGCTTTACAAACCAAGCCCAGTTTCTATGGAATATGTAAAGGATTTTTTTTTAATATACAAAGAACTGTTCTGGGATTATAATTTCTTACCCAACAGTCAGTGGAAAAGCAACAAACTTACAAGAGGGCAGTAATAAAGCACTAAAGAGTCCAAGGAAATGATTTCTACTTCTGCCACTAACCAGTTATGTGATCCTAGCAAATACCTTACCTTGCTTCTTCCTTCTCTTCTTCTGTTTCTTTCCCTTTTAATGAGAGATTTCCTTTCAGCCAAAAATGTATTTAAGGACTAAATGATCTACAATGCCCCACCCATGTTTCTATAAATTAACTTCCAAGATAACATCCAATACTTCCTAAGATGATTTTCCCAAGTCATGATGATACAAGGGTACTGAAGAAAACTTTGAAATTGTTTTGAATTGGAACATTTTTCCTAGTCATTGACCATCATATTAGCATTCAACTATGGACTATCAGGTCTAATTTTAAAAATGTAACATTCCTTTTCCAAAAGACACTTTGGGATTTAGTGTACTTTTCAAAGAGTAGTTTACATGTATTGGTAAGAGTCAATACAAATGTTCTATTGTTATTAAACATAGAGACATTCTCTGTAGATTGAAAATTTATACACAGTCTAGCCGAGAAGCTCCATGAAGGCAGTGACCATGAATGTCTTGTTCGCTATTATATTTTGGGGTGCCTAAAATTTGACACACCGCAAAGGCCCTATAAACATTGATAATAAAAATTAAACTACAATGACTATCAGTAAAGGTGCAGAGTTAAGAACCAAAGAGATAGCTCTGTGGAATCATTAGCTCATCTGGAATCAGGAGCTGGCAACACTGAAGAATGACTACTTTCTCTGTGACTCGAGGAGTTAAGGAAACTTTAAAATGGACCAAAATAGAAGCAGACTCTTTAGTGAGAAAGAAAAGAACGTGAGCTGGCAACCTCTCAATTTTCATCATTTTTTTCATCTGTAATCACCTGAACAGAATTTCTAGCTTTATAAGTCACAGTATGCCTTGTAATAAAGCAAGTTACATTGTATTTAAAACAGAGGCTGTGAATACTAAGCCCTGCTGACTAAAAAGGAAAGGCTTTTTCAACCATATTGGTTCCAGAAAGACTCCACAGTCTCTGGATGGAAGCAAGATAGTGACAACATAAGGAAGTTATCCAGCCTTCTTCACGACAACGAAGTCTTCAAAGCTGATGAAATACAGTTGCCTTCTTTTTCCTCCCAACCACAAAATTATAATGTCAAATCAAAATAGACTGAAATGATCCAGTCTCTTTACTTTATTGTAATTCTACACTTTGATTTCTGTCATGATCTATTTGGTCTGAAAATTCAAATTCCCATTTCTACTACTTCTTGAAGTTCAAAGTTATTTTTAATGACTTGTCTTACTGTGAAATAAGTCTATAATATTCTATTTCTCTTCCTTTAAGAATACATCAGTCATTAATAATAACCCAAATTGGAAACACATCTCCAGAAGTAAAAAGATTGTTAAAGGGGTCATGACAGTAAAATTTTTCAGTGAAGTCAAATGTCTTGAAATCCTACTTACTAATCATACCTGTCAAAAATCTCTTGTTCAAAGTTTCAGAGGAATTTACACATTAAGCAATTCTGAAAGCAGTTTGGTAATGTGCCCACATCGCAAATAAATAATGAAAACAGAAGTAGCCCACAGTGAGATAATCAGAGAACCAACAGTCGTAGGTCTATTTCCCAAAAGCCCCATGTCCTTGATAAATTCATTGTGTCATTCAGAAAATGTTCCTCTTTGAAGTAACTTTATATTACAGTAGGAAGGCATTACCAGTTTGCCATTTTCTTGTGTTAAAATTAACACAAGTAATTAACACTAATAAATGCAAGTGGCTTTAAAATGGGGTTAATTTTTTAATAACTGAATTTAACTTTTTTCTTTTCTGTCCTTGTTTTGGAAGCATTTTGGGAATTTCCTTTTGCATTGTTGTTCAATTTATCGTTATTTCTAATTGTTATACTTTTTCACCTTTAAAGTATCCTTCTTCACATACTTTATTTCTATTGCTCTTCCCACCATTTATGCTTTTTAAAATATTTTATTAGGATAGCCAGCCTATCATAATATAAGCCCATCCATTGTGTGCACGTGGTCTGAGTCTGTTACTTGAAAAGGTTTTTACTTAGTGATGACAAAAGATACTTTACTGTGACAGACAATGGTTTTGCATGAAAACCCACATACAAATTTCAGAATAATATATAGCATTGGTGACACACTATCTCAACCTTGCAATTTATGCCCAGATGAATTAGTTCATTGGTTTTTGTAGCCAGTGTCTAAGGAAGGGAGTGACAGCAATAAGAGAATATCATAATGTTGTTTCCACTCAGGAACTGCCTTATTCTTATCTTGGTGTACTATACAGATAACAGTTTCTATCTCATAATATAAACAACACTAAGAAGAACTTCATAAAATGTGAAATTTCTGAGTTGTTAGTAATTCAATGTTCAACATTGTAAGACAAGAGCAAGTTTTTTCCCCACATGTCCATACCAGTTTATACTATCAATAACAAAGTACGTAAGTTCCTATTATTGCGTATCATCACAACCCTTGGTCAGTCTTGTTATGTGAAATAGCATTTATACATTTTAGTTAGGTTGTCCTAATTACTAACAAGGTTGAGTGACCCTTCATATGTTACAGGCTATTCTTGTTTCCAACCTGTTAAGGGTTTGTTTATTATGATCCTATGTTTTTCCTCCTTGAGTCAAAAGAGTTGTTTATGAATTCTGCATAACAACACACACATTTCTTGTGCTTTCTGGTATTCTAAAATACTGTCTGTCCACTAAGCTGCTCTAAAAAAATACGCAATTTTTCAGTTTTTCACTTACTACCCACTCTGTCATGAGCTCAGAGAATGAGTTAAGAGGGTTTAGAATTCTCCCTGATTTCCTGTGATCTCAGTTATGTATTAGAGTGTGATAGTCTGTTTTATGGAGAATCTAGTTGTTCTTTAAAAAAAAAAAAATTCACTATGTTGCCCAGGCTGGAGTGCAGTCACTATCCACCAGCGTGATCATATCTCACTGCAGCTTTGAACTCCTGGGCTCAAGCAATTCTCACACCTCAGCCTCCTGAATAGTTGCGATACAGGTGCCTACCAGTCCATCTGGCTGTTTTCTAATGAAAGGAATCTTCAGAGTAACTTATCTCCTATACTTTGTAAAGCTACAATTCTGTATATCTGATTATTAGCACTATATCATTTTATTTTTCCATTTAATTCAGATGTATGACTTACAATGTACTCTTTCCATTATATCGAGGGGGTGAAATAATCAGATTTTATATATTTCTTTATTATACTTTAAGTTCTAGGATACATGTGCAGAACCTGTAGGTTTGTTACATAGGTATACAACTGCGTGGTGGTTTGCTGCACCCATCAACTCGTCATCTACATTAGGTATTTCTCCTAATGCTATTCCTCCTAGCCCCCCACCCCGCAACAGGCCCCAGTGTGTGATGTCCCCCTCCCTGTGTCCATGTGTTCTCATTGTTCAACTCCCACTTATAAGTGAGAACATGTGGTGTTTGGTTTTCTGTTCTTGTATTAGTTTGCTGAGAATGATGCTTTCCAGCTTCACCCGTGTCCCTGCAAAGGACATGAACTCATATTTTTTATGGCTGTATAGTATTCCATAGGGTATATATGCCACATTTTCTTTATCCAGTCTATCATTGATAGGAATTTGGGTTGGTCCAAGTCTTTGCTATTGTGAATAGTGCTGCAATAAACATATGTGTACATGTGTCTTTATAGTAGAATGATTTATAATCCTTTGGGTATATACCCAGTAATGGGATTGCTGGGTCAAATGGTATTTCTGGTTCTAGATCCTTGAGGAATCACCACACTGTCTTCCACAATGGTGTAAGACAAATTACACTCCCACCAACAATGGTGTAACTAAATAACACTCCCACCAGCAGTGTAAAAGTGTTCCTATTTCTCCACATCCTCTCCAGCATCTTTTGTTTCCTGACATTTTGATGATCACCATTCTAACTGGCATGAGATGGTACCCCACTGTGGTTTTGATTTGCATTTCTCTAATGACCACTGATGGTGACTTTTTTTTCATATGTTTATTGGCCGCATAAACGTCTTCTTTTGAGAAGTGTCTTTTCAGATTCTGTATATTTCTCTTTAAGATGTTTAAGACTATGGTTTGGGAAATAAATAGGAATATCCCAAGAAATAGGAAGAGAAAAAGCCTGTTGGAATATTACTATAATAGCCCAGAATAAAGATTATGGAAATTTAGACTAAAATAACATCACTAAAAATGGAGAGAAATGAGCAGAATTAAAGGACCCATTTCCTATTGAGAAAGATGTAAATTTTTGAAAATGTTTTAAATGAGTCTATTTAATAAGATGGTTATTCATACACAATATTCAGAATAATTTCCAGTTTCCTCCATTTATTTTGGAATTGCCACTGAGGGGAAAAATCACAAAAATTTAAAAACAGCAGTGAAAAACTCATGTTTTCATTTCACTGAAGTTTGAAATAATGACAATATGTAGCTATATGAAATTAATCCTCTAGCATTTATCATGAACTTACATCATGTCACATGTATCATAAGTTCTACTACTTTACACATTCATCACACCCAGTAAAAAGAAAATATATCAAGATATACTGCAGAAGCTGTTCATTACCATTTTAATAGAGATTGCTGTTGATCAATAAAACTTGGTTCTATTATTGCTCCAGGTATTCAGCTAAATTTATCAGCTAGAAGACAGATCAGCAGCACAATATCTTGAAAATAGCAGTCATTCAATATATATTTATTAAGTTGTATATAAATCCCTTTCAAGTTACAAATGATTATCTAAAACCATAGAATATTCATCTACCAAATTTTCATTTGGCAATGTAAAGAGGCAATGTTTCCTTAAGAAATCCACTTTGGTCTTCATTTTCAGTTTACTTTTTGGTTTATCCTAGTGACATTCTGAATTGCTTTTTAAAATTTTTTTCTGTCTTCTTCTGTCTACTACAAAGCAAGAGCGGTAT
Organism: Homo sapiens; assembly: GCF_000001405.40. Lineage (NCBI taxonomy): Eukaryota > Metazoa > Chordata > Mammalia > Primates > Hominidae > Homo > Homo sapiens. Next base: position 146,648,956 of record NC_000007.14, on the reverse strand, counting down.
TTCCCATCATCTGTCCGCCAACAATTAGATTTAATATGATTAAATTGGGAATTATCCTATGAAGTATGGTAATCAGCCACTTCTCTCCTCTGTTGATTTGAGTCATTCCTATTCTTCTATTTCCATTTTAATAATAATTTTATCATTTCACATTAATTTGCTTCCAATAAATTAAATTAAATGCATCAAAGGGCCTCAAAGCAAATTATCTTTTTGCTATGTCAGGTCTTAAAGATCCAAAATATGATTGTGTTTTTTGTTCTGTAGGTTATAAATATGCATTACACATTGGGGAAAAACACTTTAAAATTAATTTTTCATTGCTTACAAAATATCTGAGAATTTCATCTAGGCCCAGAGAAGTTTTAACATAAATCTATTTGGTCTCTTAGACTCAAAATCTTCATACATTTATAAGATAAGAAAATATTAGTTTTTTAAAAAACATTTAAAGAAGTATTGCATAATAAAAAATTTTCACAGCATAAAAATCTGGTTTGTAGACTTTTTGCTTTGCAGGTAAAAAGTTTTTCTAATTAAAAATGACCCCAAGCTATGGGCTTTATTATTTTTTTCCTGATTATAACTACAAAGAGAAAAGTCATTTCCTTATAAAGTTTGAAAACGTTCACTTCTTTCCCATGGGGAAAATATTCATGTTTTCTCACCCCCTATATGCTTGGAAAATAGAAATGTAAAGGCATAAAGTTTGTTCCAAAGGATCACTTGAAAATAACTTATTTAAAACACAACATCTACCTTATAAAAGGTATTAAGGGTTACATTTAAGTCCCTGAAGTGGTCTGTGTACCCATGAAGTAGAGAAATACAAAAGCATTTTATGAGAGAGGTTTGTCCAACCTGTGATACGGAAGCCTCATTTTCATGTGCAGTCCTGGCTCCAGGTCAGGTGAGGAAATGACTATAGCCAGATCCAGGGTCTGATGGGATAAGAATTGTGGTACATTGGGTGATGAGTTGGAAAGGTTGGGAGCTGAGGCTGAAGAGTCAAAGCTGCACTTAAGTCTCCATAAATTCATGGAACTGCTAATGTAACTGTGGCATGTAAATATAAAACATGTTCTTTATACACGGGAACCCTTCTTAGGATGACTATAGATTAGTAGAGTAAAAGATTTCTTTTAAAAATCTCTAATCAAAAGAATAGGTAAAGAGATATGAAAGCTGACAGGAGAGAATGATTGCTTCTAACTGTTGGGATCAAGAAGGTCAAAACGGAGTTTGAGCCTTGGATTTCCTGTGCTGCACTGTTTATCAAGTAAGACCTTATGTTTTTCTTTTCGCAGCCACCATGCTGAACCAGTCTGCCAACACTTGTTGCTTCCCAGTGATTTCTCTTTATCACTGCTCATGAGGAATAAGGCAGAATTTTAAACCTTTTTAAATACATTTTGTTCCAAGATTAAACAATTAATGTTTTATAAGATTTTTAATGGCCTAGTAACAACCAAGAAACAAACAAGAGAAGTTTGAATATTATATTATGTTTTCAGTTATTTGTTTTTTTAACATAATCCCTCAGACAAGGTTCTTATAAAGATACTGAACTTTTCTTTCTTTCAGTGTACATCATGGACTAATATAAGATTATTTTTTTCTTCTCCTTCTTAACAGAAGGATATCATGCTCAGATTTTCTGGCCATTCTTTAAAGGAAATGGGGTGAGGAAAGGAGCTCGAGATAAAGTCCAGAATGGAGCCCTAAAGGTTGCTGTCAAACAGCGAGGGAGCCAATTTGGACTGAGATGCTGTAGCATTGCTGGATTCCTCCTTCTCTGGAGGTAGAAACAGCTCCTGGGATTTACCTGCCTCTTGTTATCCCTTCACCCATTGGCACTACAGACTCTGCCCTCAGTCAAGCCTCCGATGAGACAAGGGCATAGGGCATATGGCCGGGAGTCCCTGTCCTCTTGTGACCATTGATATTGTGCCCTGCCTCAGAGCCTTTTTGGTTGAAGAATCATTGCCCATTGTTTCTCTCCAGGGTGTTCTAGGATTTTCTTTATAATTTGTCCTGTGTCAAACTGGCTTGGATTCCATTTAATTTTTGCTCTTTTTCCCCATTCACCAGCACTGTTTCACTAGGCGACTCTTGTCTTGACACCTTCTTTCTGGCACACTGGCTGCAGGTCACAGAAGACCAGCTTCTCTTGCATGTGATTATCATGAACAGGTTAAATATCTTTGTAGAACTGATGACTCAAGACTCCACCATAAAATTAGATACTGGCCAGGCAAGTCTATTTAGTGTGGATAACAAGAATGGTTTTAATCAGAAACTGAAACATTATTTATGCCAGAAAATTTGAGAATATGTCCACCAACAGAGGAACTTCCGGAAATGTACTTAAGGATGAATTAGCTTCCTCAATTATAATTTTAAAATACACATATTTAACTACTGTGTGTATATATACTTTTACCTATAATGTATATTTATGTTATGTAATTTACAGCTTATATGTTATACATTACTGTTACTATATATTATACTACTTATACAGATTTATTTATACCTGAACCCTCTGAAAATTTTAATGTAAATAATTAAAAATAATGGCTTGTTCTAATTTATATACACATAAATACACATGTGCACGTGCACACACACACAAACTAGTGAGCATTCACATATATTTCACAAAGCTATGGTATTTAAGCACAGAAACAGACAATGAACATGTTCAAGCTCCCTTCTCGAACATGTTCATGAACTACATTATGTGATTTTCTAAAAGGAGGATTTTTCTAAGCTTCATTTTGCCAGGCTTTTAAGCAGATATGTTTTCACTTTTACAAGAATGGGTGAGACTTACTTAACCATGGCAAAGCACTTGTAAAGTGTGAATACAAGACTATAAATCATTAATGTGAATTTAATGTTGGAAACCTTTTCACTAGAAGTTTTAACATAGTAATTCGTCACCTGTAACAGTGACATATGTGACTTTTCCCATAGCTTAATATGAAATTTCAGACAGTATCTTTAGATAAAATATAGTTCAGAGAGCTCACAGGAAAAAAGAAATTGCTCATTTTGAAGTATATTACCAACACTATTGAAGACAGACAGATCTGGAAGTCAGTGCAGCTTGAGTTCCCCACCCTAACCACAAACACCCACATAAACATATACAAATTCACACACATACACACACACACACACTGGGTAGCTTAGTTGAGACCTGACTCCACAGATCTGACTTAAGAACATATAACTCTGTGGATACACTAAAAGCCATTGAATTTCACAGTTTCAATGGGTCACCTATATGGTATGTGAATAAATATATCTCAGTCAAGCTGTTAAAAAGAATACAGTTATGCAGTCATTAGATGCCAAGTGCCCCTCACCCCCATCTCCAACAAGATACCTCCTCACTTCCTCAAAAAGTTTTTGTTGTTTCATACCCACAGGGATGTTCCCTGATCTCATTTTTCGTAGATACATATTATAGAACATGACGGGATAGAAACCCTTCTCCACTGGCACTGTGGCCAGGGGGTATGCAGACCCTCTAAGCCTGACATAGAATGAGGGATGAGAATCGAGGTTATTATATGTAATCTACTAGTTATTTAAGTTCCCTCCAGCCCCCATGCAATGATCTTGCTTCTATCTGCACTACCTATGACTAGTGTTATAACTCTGTGCCTCTTTCGAATGGCAACCATAGCCATGATTTTTTTCTTGTGATACACACATTCATTCATTATTCATTCAGGGAATTGTAAATGAGATAGAAGAGCAAATAAGACAGACACCTGTCCTGATCTTTGGGGCTTACATTATCAAAGTACATATCAGTGCATCCTTCAAGCCCTGCTTTTAGAAGTACTTGCCTATTTTAATAAATGATTTTTTTGAATTTCTTTTTAAAAAAATTTCTGCTCTAAAATTCTCTTTTTTGGTTGTGTCTCTGCCCGGCTTTGGTATCAGGATGATGCTGGCCTCATAAAATGACTGAGGGAGGATTCCCTCTTTTTCTACTGACTGGAATAGTTTCAGAAGGAATGGTACCAGTTCCTCCTTGTACCTCTGGTAGAATTCGGCTGTGAATCCATCTGGTCCTGGACTCGTTTTGGTTGGTAAGCTACTGATTATTGCCACAATTTCAGAGCCTGTTCTTGGTCTATTCAGAGAGTCAACTTCTTCCTGGTTTAGTCTTGGGAGGGTGTATGTGTCGAGGAATTTATCCATTTCTTCTAGATTTTCTAGTTTATTTGTGTAGAGGTGTTTGTAGTATTCTCTGATGGTAGTTTGTATTTCTGTGGGATCGGTGGTGATATCTCCTTTATCATTTTTTATTGCGTCTATTTGCGAATTTTAGACCAATATCCTTGATGAATATTGATGCAAAAATCCTCAATAAAATACTGGCAAACCGAATCCAGCAGCACATCAAAAACCTTATCCACCATGATCAAGAGGGCTTCATCCCTGGGATGCAAGGCTGGTTCAACATACGCAAATCAATAAATGTAATCCAGCATATAAACAGAACCAAAGACAAAAACCACATGATTATCTCAATAGATGCAGAACAGGCCTTTGACAAAATTCAACAACCCTTCATGCTAAAAACTCTCCATAAATTAGGTATTGATGGGACATATCTCAAAATAATAAGAGCTGTCTATGACAAACCCACAGCCAATATCATACTGAATGGGCAAAAACTGGAAGCATTCCCTTTGAAAACGGGCACAAGACAGGGATGCCCTCTCTCACCACTCCTATTCAACATAGTGTTCTGGCCAGGGCAATTAGGCAGGAGAAGGAAATAAAGGGTATTCAATTAGGAAAAGAGGAAGTCGAATTGTCCCTGTTTGCAGACGACATGATTGTATATCTAGAAAACCCCATTGTTTCAGCCCAAAATCTCCTTAAACTGATAAGCAACTTCAGCAAAGTCTCAGGATACAAAATCAATCTACAAAAATCACAAGCTTTCTTATACACCAATAACAGACCAACAGAGAGCTAAATCATGAGTGAACTCCCATTCACAATTGCTTCAAAGAGAATAAAATACCTAGGAATCCAACTTACAAGAGACGTGAAGGACCTCTTCAAGGAGAACTACAAACCACTGCTCAAGGAAATAAAAGAGGATACAAACAAATGGAAGAACATTCCATACTCATGGGTAGGAAGAATCAATATCATGAAAATGGCCATACTGCCCAAGGTAATTTATAGATTCAATGCCATCCCCATCAAGCTACCAATGACTTTCTTCACAGAATTGGAAAAAACTATTTTAAAGTTCATATGGAACCAAAAAAAGAGCCTGCATCGCCAAGTCAACCCTAAGCCAAAAGAACAAAGCTGGAGGCATCACGCTACCTGACTTCAAACTATACTACAAGGCTACAGTAACCAAAACAGCATGGTACTGGTACCAAAACAGAGATATAGATCAATGGAACAGAACACAGCCCTCAGAAATAACGCTGCATATCTACAACTATCTGATCTTTGACAAACCTGAGAAAAACAAACAATGGGGAAAGGATTCCCTATTTAATAAATGGTGCTGGGAAAACTGGCTAGCCATATGTAGAAAGCTGAAACTGGATCCCTTCCTTACACCTTATACAAAAATTAATTCAAGATGGATTCAAGACTTAAACGTTAGACCTAAAACCATAAAAACCCTAGAAGAAAACCTAGGCATTACCATTCAGGACATAGGCATGGGCAAGGACTTCATGTCTAAAACACCAAAAGCAATGGCAACAAAAGCCAAAATTGACAAATGGGATCTAATTAAACTAAAGAGCTTCTGCACAGCAAAAGAAACTACCATCAGAGTGAACAGGCAACCTACAAAATGGGAGAAAATTTTCCCAACCTACTCATCTGACAAAGGGCTAATATCCAGAATCTACAATGAACTCAAACAAATTTACAAGAAAAAAACAAAAAACCCCATCAAAAAGTGGGCAAAGGACATGAACAGACACTTCTCAAAAGAAGACATTTATGCAGCCAAAAAACACATGAAACAATGCTCTTCATCACTGGCCATCAGAGAAATGCAAATCAAAACCACAACGAGATACCATCTCACACCAGTTAGAATGGCAATCATTAAAAAGTCAGGAAACAACAGGTGCTGGAGAGGATGTGGAGAAATAGGAACACTTTTACACTGTTGGTGGGACTGCAAACTAGTTCAACCATTGTGGAAGTCAGTGTGGCAATTCCTCAGAGATCTAGAACTAGAAATACCATTTGACCCAGCCATCCCATTACTGGGTATATACCCAAAGGACTATAAATCATGCTGTTATAAAGACACATGCACACGTATGTTTATTGCGGCACTATTCACAATAGCAAAGACTTGGAACCAACCCAAATGTCCAACAATGATAGACTGGATGAAGAAAATGTGGCACGTATACACCATGGAATACCATGCAGCCATAAGAAATGATGAGTTCATGTCCTTTGTAGGGACATGGATGAAATTGGAAATCATCATTCTCAGTAAACTATCGCAAGAACAAAAAACCAAACACTGCATATTCTCACTCATAGGTGGGAATTGAAGAATGAGAACACATGGACACAGGAAGGGGAACATCACACTCTGTGGACTGTTGTGGGGTGGGGGGAGGGGGGAGGGATAGCTTTAGGAGATATACCTAATGCTAAATGATGAGTTAATGGGTGCAGTGCACCAGCATGGCACATGTATACATATGTAACTAACCTGCACATTGTGCACATGTACCCTAAAACTTAAAGTATAATAATAAAATTAAAAAATAAAAATAAAAAATAAAAAAATAAAAAACCAAAACAAAACAAAACAAAATTTGTCTTTTAAATAAGTTATGATAAGCTTTTTTCTTTAAAAAACAGTAAGTATAGCTTCACCAACCTAAAAGTTCTCTTCAATTATACATAATTTAAGGTCATATATTTTGTTTCATGTTCTTTTCTTGAATGTTCTCATTTACAAACTAGTGCTAATTTTAAAACTTTTTTTAATCTGACTCACAAAGCCTGAAGAACAATTTTTGTCTTCACAATTACTGTGCCAAGTTTGCAAATAATAACAACAAACCCACAAAATATTAGGTTTTAATATGCTCACTGATAGACATATATTCATCTGTTCTGAATCTCTATGATAGTTGTAAAACTGTAATTCTCTCTGCAGTGACAAAAATGTCAGGAAAAACATTTTTTTCTCTCTCCTCCGAAACACCTGCATGAAACTCTTAAGTAGAGATCAAAGGGAATACAATCTATCAGAATGTCATGATACTGGGCCACTGTCACACCAGCACCTGCCTTCCATTACCCCACATAACCAGAGATTAAAGAGTAGAAAGAGCTAAAGATTGAAGCTGAGAGAAATAATCATAGAAACAGAAAAATAAATTAGAAGCAAAGAAATCCAAAGAGGAAAAAGAACTGAAACAGAATTAACTGTCCAGCTACTTCTTATAAAATATGGCCTACATTATAATTAACATAAAATATGTTCTTCTCTTATAAATTATTAGAAACCTGCCCAAGTATTTGATTTTCTGCTTCTGGAAGAAGTTCGTCTCTTTTTAATTTATTTATGTATTTTTATTTATTTTTTTGAGACGGAGTCTCGCTCTGTTCCTCAGGCTGGAGTGCAGTGGTGCGATCTCGGCTCACTGCAAGCTCCGCCTCTGGGTTCACGCCATTCTCCTGCCTCAGCCTCCCAAGTAGCTGGGACTACAGGCCCCCGCCACCATGCCTGGCTAATTTTTTTGTATTTTTAGTAAAGACGGGGTTTCACAGTGTTAGCCAGGATGGCCTCGATCTCCTGACCTTGTGATCCGCCCACCTCAGCCTCCCAAAGTGCTGGGATTATAGGCACGAGCCACCGTGCCTGGACAAGTTTGTCTCTTTTCAATTGCAAACTATTGGAAGGCTGCTATACCTTATTTCTTGTTAGGCTTTTACTTATTCACATTTTAGGCATTTTCTCCCTAACAAGCATTAATAGATAGACCCTGTTCGCAGATGTTGTCTTCCTTACATTTGTTTATTATTCTTTCCACATTACCTCTAACAGTGAGATTTGTTTCCTTTTCCTTTCTCCAAGTCTATTTATTATTTTCCTTTGCAGAAAATCAACATCAATTCATCCTTCAAACACTGGAGTTTAAAATTTTCGCAGTCAAGATGCTTTATATTAAAGAAGAGAAAAATGCACCAAACAAGAGCACATTAGTGCAACTGCATGGATACTGACTCTTTTACAGGAAGCAATTACAGTAGGTGCTACGGATAACCTTCGCCAAAAAGGAAGCCCAATAGTAAAATCCTCTTTCAATCAAATCGAAGTCTCCAAATAAACACAATAATTCTCATTAAACTAATTTGCTAAATTTCCCTCCTCATGTACATTTTGCCACTCCACTTAGAGAGCATACTCTACACATTGCAAGGAAAAAGGAGAATTGACATATCTTTAATGAGGCATCAGGCTAATTCACCAAAGATGACCTTCTAGCCCTAAGGAGATCTTCAGACAATTGATCTCCAGTGTGCACATTATCAAACAACAGTGCAAATTAGAACCAGCCACCAAAGACATTCACTCTCTAAATGATTTCCTGACATTTGAGAACATTAGAGAAGAAACGTATCTTTCCTTTGGGATTCACATCAGCGTTCAGTATAATTCCTTTGTAAACTCCAGAAAGAAATATTCCAAAAGAAGAAAATAATAAAACAAGGCCATAAACATAAAAGGTGGCATACATTTTTCACATAAAAATGTTTTGCTAAGATATTTCATGAGAAGCTAAGGCTTTTATAGCTTTCTTGTTTCTTCTCCTGATAATCCCCAGAATTAGAACAGGTAGGTAGAGTACACAGGCAGGCACCCTGCCGTGGAACTTAAGGAGGACCAGGAAGACTTCCTTATACTCTGACCCCATCTTTAAAAATGCACATCCTCAATGGTGAAGCTTCAAAAGCTACTAAGTCTTGGGTGCCGTTGGCTATTTCATAATAGTTACTAGAACAGGCCATGCAGTCAGACTGCCTTCCCTCTTCTTCGGACTCTGCCACTTCTTAGCTGTGATGTGGACAAAGACTTTTAACCTTTATAAGTTTCAGTGTCCTTGTCTACTAAAACTGTGATAATAATTGACCTATGTCTTTGATAGATTCTGATTATTATATGAGATAATACCTGTAAGTGTTGACCACAGTGCCTGGCACATGGACAATTCTCAGCAATTGCTAACTACTGTCATTTTTACTTCTGAATACTCAGATCAACTCCACTCCCTGGAGGAGGGGTTGGGAAATGTGAGATCACAAGGCTCCTGTTCAGAGGGTAATAAATCCTTAGTAAATGTATCATAGTAAATGGTAGTGAGAGGTAAGAAAATATATTTTACACTCAAGCAAGTTTTATTTAACCTTCTGAAGTACGGTTTCCTCCCCCATAAAATGGGAATAATCAGAGAATCTATCTTACATGATACTTGTGGGGATTCCATGAGATGAGATAATGCTTGTAAAATGGTTAGAATGCATAGGATGTGGCATGGGGTGTGTGTTCCTTGAAAGTTATTGGTTATCAGGTGTTTTCTTTATAGTAGAGAACGATGTCACATCATGCTTTTTCCGGTAATGTGCTTCAGCTTTTAAAGTAGTGAACAGAACTTTTACAAGTAAAAATAGCATGAATTTTAAAAGCTGCATACAAAATAAATTGGTATGTTAGCCTTTTAGTCTCAAATATATAATATTCATATAGTTGCTATCAGATGGAATCACATAATTGGCACCTGAGGCATACAGCCTACGCTGCCTAATGATGTTTCAGTCAACTATGCTTCACATATGCAATGGTGGTTTCATAAGATAATCCTACCATATTTTTACTGTACCTTTTCTATTTTAGATAAGTTTTGACACACAAATACTTACCATAGTGTTACAATTGCCTACAGCATTAGTACAGCTGTATGTTATATAGGTTTGTAGCCTTGGAACCATAGGTTATACCATACAGCCTTAGGTGTATAGTAGGATCCGCCATCTAGGTTTTGGAATTACACTCTGTGATTTTTGTACAATGACAAAATCACCTAGAATCACATTTCTCACAACATTCCCATCGTTAAGAAACACCTGGCCGGGCGCGGTGGCTCAAGCCTGTAATCCCAACACTTTGGGAGGCCGAGGCGGGTGGATCACGAGGTCAGGAGATCAAGACCATCCTGGCTAACACGGTGAAACCCCGTCTCTACTAAAAATACAAAAAAATTAGCCAGGTGTGGTGGCGGGTGCCTGTAGTCCCAGCTACTCGGGAGGCTGAGGCAGGAGAATGGCGTGAACCCGGGAGGAGGAACTTGCAGTGAGCCGAAATCGAACCACTGTACTCCAGCCTGGGCAACAGAGTGAGACTCCATCTCAAAGAAAAAAAAAAAAAAAAAAAAAAGAAACACCTGACTGTATTAAACTGTTTTAATAATATTGTCTGATCCATGAAGATCTGCATATTTTAATATGCTACCAAATGAGATATCCAGTGATACTTGCCCCAGCCAAAATAAAGTATGTGTATAAGAGCTGCCTTCATATCCCGCCTACTTTGTCCAACAAACTGGAGGTCATTTGTCAGAGCCTCAAGGAACTGAACACTGCAGGGATACAGGGATTTCTCCTAATGCTTAATAATTTAAGTCACTGTCAGTTCATTGTTTTGGATGTGATATCATTAGGGAATAGTCATAAGCGCCCCTTTAGTTCAGTCAGTTTCTCTTAACCTGGCTATACGCTTACAGACAGAAATAGAACAACATTCAATAAAAGCAACCAACAGGTTTGATTTATCACTAGAACTGATTTGAATTGTCATAGAACCTGCCTACACAGCATGGGTTACTGCAACAGGTGCACATATGACTAGATACAAGGTCCTTATAGACACACTATGTGATCACATGGTTATGGACAATATATATGGATGTTATATAGAATAATACAAATTTGTACAAATCAAATAACATATATGTTGGTTTTTGTTCCTTTAAAAAATCAAGAATAAGGTAAACATGATTAATACTGATTTTAAAATTAAACTGGTATCTTATTTTTTCCCATATCTTAGTATTTTGCCATTTCAAATCCAATAGCCTTTCTAAACCAGTCTGAGTTACATTTATGTGGGGTTTAGGAATCAATTCCTACTCTGCATAGTTCAGAGGCACTCTGTACATGCACATTACACACCAGTGTGTGTTCAACTTCAAAACTGGTCCTGTCCCTGAGAAAATACACATTAGAAAGGATCAAATCAAAGAGCATTTGCTAATAGTGATTATATAACTCAATCAATATCGAGCAAGAGTGATACGTCTGAACTACTGAGAAAATTGTGGTGAAACGTAGAAAAGCACATAACTATTGAAGTGAACTAGGTGGTGGCTTCAGAGCTTCCTGTTGAAAAAGAAATAGAAAATAAAATCCTAGTAAAAATTAAGGAAGAATGAAAAAAGCAAAGCAAGTGACACAAGGAACTTGGCTATGCATGTTATGTTAAGAGATATCTTGTCAATCAATGTATAAAATGCAAACTTAAGACTTCCTTTGTTTAATTAAAACTTTAGTTTTCATGTGTAATATGTATTGAAAAATGTGAAATTAAAAACTATGCCTTTGTGTTTCTGCAACTTCACTATTTTACAAGGTGTCCCAATAAATGTATCAGAGAATCTATGGTCATAAAGTCTTACGATGCTACTGCAAGAATTTATGAAGCATTCCTCTGATCATTTAAAGTAAGCCACTCAGCAAAATTTCAATATTTGGTTTTCAGAAATAAACCACTATTTCTCTCAAGGTTTTTATTTAATTAAATTTGTTGCTGACATTATTGCCCAAATTGTGAATACCATATTAGATTTGCGAAGTTTAGAGATACGCAATTTATATGCGTGTGTCCAATGACACTGTGATTGTACATTTCTCTCTATGTATGCCTCTGGCAATGACTGTAGGGTCAATTTCAGTTTTATATATGTTTGGAATACAGTTGAAAAGCAAGGTTATGAGGGGATTTTGGAATCACAGCTTAGACTTGGCAAAGAGACGCCTAACATTTTCTATACAAACAAATGAAATGCCAGAGCAGGGTCTCAATGTCAGAGCTTTTGAAGAAAATCTGGTTTGGCTCAACCAGAGTGATCTGTGTGTATTAAGACGATTTGACCTAGAAACGAAATGCTCTCTACAAATAATCAGTGAAGCTGAAGGGAAATTAAAATGATTTTAGTGGTTGACCTTCTCAGTTGCATACTGGACAATTATGAGAAGGTAATTAGTATCTGAGCATAGGTTGTAAAATAATGACCATTGCTAGTACAAAGTTGCTAAGTAATTTCAGATTTCTTTAGTTATTTAAACACAGAATTATAAGAGGCAAAAATTGGAAAAGATATTGAAAAAATCATAGCCCATTTCGGCAATTTTTTTAGATAAGGAGAAACTGGGCTTTTTTTCTAGTAACACCTCCTGAATTTCATATGTGTGTGTATGTTTATCTGAATCTTCAGAGTAATAATATAATGCCTTTTAAAAATTCGTAAGTTAAAATATAACTTACATGCCATAAAATTCACTGTGATTAGCATACAGTTCCATAAGTTTTGACAAATGCATATGTTTGGTAATCACCAGCACATTCAAGATAAAGCACAATCCCATCACCCCCCGCCCCCCTGCCCTGCCCAGAATTCCTGTGGGCACCGCTGTAGTCCACCTCTCCCCTACTTTTGTGTCCTGGAATTCACTGATCTGTTTTCCGTCTCTGTAGCTTTGCCTTTATGACCCACATTTTAATAACAGGAAAAATGCACCTGTCTGTTGTTCAAGATGTTTGGTGAAAACAGTCTCATAATGTACTGTTTAATACTATAAGGCAGTTTGCTAAAGTGAGCAAGCAATACTTTAGGCGGCTCCATTCACTTGCCACTGGAACAGTCCCTCCTTTTTCCTGCCCCATTTATTGACTCCTGGCTAGAGACAGGCATTTCGGTGCTCTTAGCAGAGTAATTTGAAACCCCTTCAAACTGATACTCTAAATATTTTCTCAACTGTTTTTTTTTTTAGAGATGAGTCCTGGCACCTGGATGAGAACAAAGGCAGAAAAGGAGGACTCCGGAAGGCAGCACTCCCTGCTTCTTATATCATCCACTTCACCAAACAAACACAGCAATTACTAACAATTCCTGGAGCATACGGGCTTTGCTGTGAGTGGAACAGACAAAAGCCTCTTACAGTCTACCCCATGCAGCTTAACCAAGAGGTCCTTGTAATACACCCAGTATTCTCTTTTAAGAAGAATTCTGATGAATACAATTTTCTTCTTTGCTTTACACTTTCAGAGATGTTTTATGGTTTAGTGTCTGAGGCGATTGACTACCCCACCTCCTCTTCTCTACGATGTGTCATCGCTGTACCTCACCTAAGAATGTCCACACAAAGCCATGACAGCCCCTGACACTTCAGGAGTTTCATGCTCTCCTGTTACTAGCATAGCATCCTGAGGCCACTGGCTGGTTGTAAGAGAAAAGTGTCACTCACTGCTGGTTACTAAGGCAGACAGGTAGGAAGAGAGCTGCTGTGTTTCTTAGAGCCAATATGGAATCTTCCATTAAGTTTTCACATAGAAACAAAGTTTAAATAATGATTAGATTTTTATACACTACTAGTATAGCACATCCAGGTATTTTTCATTCCTTTCTTCCTTCATCTAATCTTTATTTTGTGTGTGCTATGTTTGAGGCCTTGTGCTTATTCCTGGACGCACATTTTCTTTGCCCTCAGAGGGTCTTGGTGGAGTGAGATTAAATCTCTGATTTCCTACCATTCTTTGCAAAGTAATTTCTTACAGAAAATACATGACTAGTTTAAGTTCCTAACAGTAGCTTTACCAGTAAACTTTGGTAATCCAAAGCTGTTTATCAACTTGGAATTGCTTGCATATTAGAAACACACAACTGTACTCTATTAATTATTAAAGTCTCATTCCTGTTAAATTTAAGTGCCATTGGTTTAATTGGAATGAGTGACAAAAAACATTGCAGTCCCTGAGTTTGCGATTTTAAGAAATTATTTTTTTCTTGACACATATAAGTGCCACTGAAGATTTTACAAAAAGTAACAAAACCCAGAGATTAGACTCATCTTGTTTGCTTATTCTTTCCTTGCAAATTGGAAAAGGAAGCTTGTCATCAACACTGCATGACTGGTTGCATTTTAATATTCAGTGTCTAATGACTGGCATGTGATAACTCTCTCATTAACATATTCATGAATAATCAGATTAAATGTCACATCTCCAAAGAAAGATCATCTGATCAGGGGTAAAATCAGTTAATTTCTTTATTTGTTTATAGAGCACTACTAAAGTGGGAGCAATCAATATAAAAAAAATCTCTCTATTGATGTTTGAATTACATATAAATTACGTGGTACCTTGCACTTGGAATGATGGAGAGAAATCAGAAAACATTATTTCCTCCATTTTTAAGAAAAATGAATGAGATCAGTTTTCATTAATGTTCTAATTATTCTTTCCAACAATATGTTACTTCTGTATTGATTGTCAGCTCTCTTCTGACTGAGGATTCGGCACAGGGAAGTATGGTTTTCAGAAATATTTTGAAGTAAAATACTCTAGATAATCAAGTACTTTGTTACAAAAGAATAGCCACACTGTAATCTCATAGTGAACAGCTGATTTCATTGACAGTCTTTGTACATAATTGGCAAATGTGTACCAGTGTGTACCAGAAAATAACTGAAATTTAAACGATGTGGTTGGGTGGTGTGGAGCTAGTGTTGGGGTCTTGAAAAAAGGCACCTCAGCCTCTTTCCAGGGTAGCTAGCAGGGCTCATAGATTGGCCCATAGGGTACTCTTCCTACTGGATCAATCACATTGTAGGCTGCCTGCCAGATGGCAGCAAAGGGAGAAATGGAAGAAATGTCTATCGTCTCTTTTTAAGATGACTCCAAAAGTACACCTACTGACTTCCTGCAACTTAGACGTTTCTGTTTTTTTTTTTTTTTTTTTTTTTTCTCTAGATGCAGTCTCGCTCTGTTGCCCAGGCTGGAGTGCAGTGGCACGATCTAAGCTCACTGCAGACTCCGTCTCCCGGGTTCACGCCATTCTCCTGCCTCAGCCTCCCGAGGTAGCTGGGACTACAGGCGCCCACCATCATGCCCGGCTAGTTTTTTGTATTTTTAGTGGAGACGCTATGGTACCATCCTTATATCTATTTTTTAACTCAATATTTTATATTCATTTTTCCCTAAAGATTATAGGTACCAAAATTCACATGCTGTTCAGATAACGGCAGCATTTGTTCATGCAATTTATTATGAAATGATGTCATGGCCTGTTATGGAGCTTGTGATTAACTTCACACTAACATCAAAGCCATATGGTATCCTATCCATTTACAGAACAAAGCTATCTCCTTAATGTCATTTACTGTAGGTTAATTTATGATTTGCCAGAAATGCTGTAGAATGGTACCTCTTTCCAGATATAGAATTTTTTAGGAAATAAAAATGAGTAACCCCAGTTAAATGGAATAATGGTGAAAATTAATACATGGTGGGGCAAGCCTCTAGGGCAAAAGGTTTCTGACTCCCAAACTTCTTATTTTAATTAGAATTGTGGAAGTATTTGGTAGATCTTGAATTTAGAAATCCATCTAGTCTGAAAAGTATAATCTACGGGGTGTACATACATCAATATTCCCAGGATCGGATGCCTCCAGCTGGGAAAGGAAGTATGTTCATATTGTTAAACCAGAGGCAAACTGCTTACTAAAAAAGGGACAAAGAAAAAAGTAGACAGTTCTCTTTTATTTCAGAAAGTTGCTTTTTTAATGACATTGATTGTGGAGAGCATTCATTCTCTCAATTCAGTAATTCTTCCGATATTTTGTATTTTTTTTTTTGCTTACCAATTTTCTTTTGTGTATAGTCTTTCAAGCGACCACATCATTTACAAATTAGCTCAGCCAAATTGCTAATTCATGGAAGCAATAAATCTTTTACTATAAATTCAGGATCTTTATAAATTCTAATGTGATTTTTGATGAGTATTCATAGATTATAATTTTAAATTCCTTATGACTACATGATTGTTTATAAATTTATATTCTTAAATTATATTTAAAAAGTTTATGTCCTCTACAAATATAGGCTAATATTTTTTATAATCTTTGATATTTCAGATCAAAAGGTTTTGGATTGTAAATGTTACTCTACGTTATGGTTAAGAACTTATCTTTTTCATTTTTTTGTTCAGAAAATGTTGATTTTTGAATAATTAACTTGAAAATATTCATTGGATATTCATAGTGTATTAGATCTCAATAGTCTGTATATTAAAATCCCATCTTTTGAACACATGGCCAATGTTACTTAAGTCTAAATCGATTTTAAAATCTGATATTTTAAAATCTTATTATTGGATGCCAGTATATTTGAGGCATTTTATATTTAGTACTAAAAATTCATTTGCTGTCCTATGTTGCTCATATAGTTTTAACATGAACATTTTCTTACTGTAAAATAACAAAAATATATTCACATGAAATGAAAATTGTAGTTTTTTATATCAAATCCTAAAATCCCTGGAATAGCTTTGGGAATAGGTCATGGGAATTTACCAATGAAAAATACAATCACTAAGAATCCACTAAGGTTTCCTGATTCAGTCAAACCCATTCCTCCTCACACAACCAAACTCTCTAAATTTTCATTTGATGAAACTAAAGCATACAGACGCATAGTGACATGTCCATCATCACTCCTGTGAGACCAAAGCCCAGACTACCTTGTTTGCAGAATATGCTCTTGCTAATAAAGTCTCTAACACATAGTAATTACATCATATGAATGGTTGGAGTAAATGATATACTTTTAATCAATTTTTATCTTAAAAAGTAAATTTTAAAAAGTGATTTCTGAGCCTTTGAGCAGGCACTGAAGAAAGTTACATTAGTAAGATTTTGAACATTTGTATTTGGGAGAACAACAACAAAAGAGAGTATTGACTGACATTAAAACTTGGAGATTGGTAAAGTGAGTTTGTATGTAAGTGAGAGATTCTTAAAAAAATACCAGCCAGTATGTAGTTCACTGTGGAAATAATTTAAGAATTGGTTGAAAATTAAACAGCAGACTCAGTATGGTCCAATAGCGTGCCATTTTATCACACATAAAATTTGATCTTTTCAGAACTCTTGCTTTACGAAAGATCTTTGCAACCTAGAGAAGACTAACCAGAATTCAGAAGAGACCAGAAAACTTCTCTTGTAAAGAACAAGTGAAGAACCTGGGGTCATTTGTCTTACTGGTATTCATCAAATACTCAGAAGGCTCTCACATGGAAGAGGATGTAGATTTACCTTGGGACAGAACCGAAAGCCTTGGAGTTTCAGGGATGTAAATTTTAGTTCAGTGTAGGAGGCATGCCCATAATAACAGGTGCCCAGACATGAAATGGGTCCCAAACATCTATGATTCTGGCAGAATTTATTTTTGAATATATTAATTTCACCCTCTTTAAATTATTTCAATGTGGTCGATTTCAATTGACCATTTCAAATATTTGTTTTCCTTTCAAATGCAGTCGAAAAATTCATATTTTAAGAACACAGTCCTGTTCCATTGGTCTATATTTCTGTTTTGGTACCAGTACCATGCTGTATTGGTTGCTGTAGCCTTGTAGTGTAGTTTGAAGTCAGGTAGCATGATGCCTCCAGCTTTGTTCTTTTTGCTTAGGATTGTCTTGGGTACATGGGCTCTTTTTTTGTCCATATGAAATTTAAAGTAGTTTTTTTTCTAATTCTGTGAAAAAAGTCAATGGTAGCTTGATGGGAATAACATTGAACCTGTAAATTACTTTGGGCAGTATGGCCATTTTCACAATATTGATTCTTCCTATCTATGAGCATGGATTTTTTTTCCATTTGTTTGTGTTCTCTCTTATTTCCTTGAGCAGTGGTTTGTAATACTCCTTGAAGAGGTCTTTCACATCCCTTTTAAGTTGTATTCCTAGGTATTTTATTCTCTTTGTAGCAATTGTGATCACTCATGATTTGGCTCTCTGCTTGTCTATTGTTGGTACATGGGAATGCTTGTGATTTTTGCTCATCATCACTGGTCATTAGAGAAATGAAAATTAATACCACAGTGAGATACGATCTCATGCCAGTCAGAATGGCAATTATTAAAAAGTCAGGAAAAAACAGATGTTGTTGAGGCTGTGGAGAAACAGGAACGCTTTTACCATGTTAGTGGGGGTGTAAATCAGTTCAACCATTGTGGAAGACAGTGTGGTGATTCCTCAAAATCTAAAACCAGAAATACCATTTGTTCCAGCATCATAACTGGGTATATACCCAAAGGATTATAAATCATTCTACTATAAAGACACATGCACACACATGTTTATCACAGCGCTATTTGCAATAGCAAAGACTTGGAACCAACCCAAATTCCCATCAATGATAGACTGGATAAAGAAAAGGTGGCACATATGCACCATGGAATACTATGCAGCCGTAAAAAAGGATGAGTTCATGTCCTTTGCAGGGACATGGATGAAGCTGGAAGCCATCATTCTCAGAAAACTAACACAGGAACAGAAAACCAAACACCACATGTTCTCACTCATTAGTGGGAGTTGAACAATGAGAACACATGGACACAGGTAGGGGAACATCATATGCTGGGGCCTGTCTAGGAATGAGGGGCTAGGGGAGGGAGAGCATTAGGACAAATACCTAATGCACACAGGGCTTAAAACCTAGATGACGGGTTGATAGGTGCAGCAAACCACCTAGGTAACAAAGCTGCACATTCTGCACATGTACCCCAGAACTTAAAAAAAAAAGAACACCATATTCTATGCATTATATGGTCAAATTTATTTTATAAAATAAAATTTCTTAACTATCCAGTGTATACCCCATCCTAAAATATGAAGGCTAATGCAATACAATATTTATTTCTCCCTAATGAACTCATCATCACCGTATTCCCTATGTTAACTATTATTTGCAGTTTCTGTGTGAACCAGTCTCAAAACATAAGCCTCCAGTTTCTTCTTGTTGTTATTACTCATGCACAGTGTGCCATAAAGTTTTGGGATTTTCCATGTAACATATAATCTGCAAGAAGAAAATTGTTTTTTAAATATACGGCCTAGTTTATAGTTCTAGTAACTAGTAATAACCTAACAAATATATATTTGATGATGATTATCAGGGTTGTTGGAAATGTTAAATCATCAAGGAAAATTTCATTTTCAGGAAATCATATGCCATAATTCCTTGGTATAAAATATTCTGTTATTTAGAAGATTTTATATAGTGGCAATAACAAATATTGTTGAAATTTGACACCTAGAGAAACTATTCAACTGCTCTGTTCTACATTTTTAAAAAATGATATATTTTTGATAAAGTTATAGCATTTTTAATGGATTTTAATAAACCTTATTTAAAGAAAAGTATTAACTTCCTGCACAAGTTTTAGAAGGGTTATTATTAAAAGTAGTGACAAATATTATGACAAAGACATTACATTTCTCATGCCTACATTAGCCCGTTTCTAAATAGTATGTAATTCTATGTGTGTGGCTGATGAGGAGTGAGAGGGGTAACTGCCAGGGGACAGACTTGTAGGAGGCAGCCCTCTGCCAACTTGTTTAAAGTTACACACAATTTGGAGCATATGACATTCAGCATGTTATTTTTTAGGAAGAACATTTCTGAATTATGTTGAGTATGGAAGCAGATAACATTAGTCAAAAGCATGTATTGTGACCTAAAAGATAAGGGAAATCAACCATTATCATAAATAAAGATTATTTTGGTAGATAAAGTGGAACACTATCTCACAGGTACGTGAAAGTTTGAGCCCGTATGACTTTACATGCTTACTTCTTTACAATAAGTTATATAGAGTGTGCAGTAGGTTATTTAAGTTTCCATATTAATTCATAAAGAATAACCGTCAAGTAATGTGGGCAAAATATGGTTCAGGAAGTATTTGTAGCTGCTTAAATGATTCTTAACACTTTGATCTAGTTTCTGTGAGATGACTATTTTGCTCCGGGGCTCTTAATACTAGGTCCTTCTGTGCTCATATACTTGATCGAAGTACAGTCTCTAAATACTATCCTATGAATGTAACAGGAAAGTTCTACTCTCTCTAAAGTGCTCAAGGGTTCATAGTTTTCTTTTTTCATTTTTTTATTTTTTAAAATTGA
This sequence comes from Homo sapiens, assembly GCF_000001405.40. NCBI lineage: Eukaryota > Metazoa > Chordata > Mammalia > Primates > Hominidae > Homo > Homo sapiens. The sequence goes on along the minus strand of NC_000007.14, from coordinate 146,628,614 downwards.
CATAAAATTGTATGTATTTACTATATGCCACATTATATTTTGAAGTATATAAACATTCTGAATGACTAAATTCAGCTATTTAACATATGCATTACCTGACATAATTATTTTTGTATTGACAATACTTTACATCCACTCTCAGCATTTGTCAATAATGTATTGTTAACTATAGTCACCATGGTGTATAATAGATCTCTTAAACATCTCTATTTAATTAAAATATTATATCATTTGATCAACTACTCTAGCTCCTGGTAACCACTATTCTACTATCTACTCTTAGATTAGCTTTCATAGATTCCGCATATGATAAACAAGGTGCTCTAAAATTTTGTTGGGACAATCTGATACTGTGGCTCTTGAGTTCTCTAATGTTATACTACAGATTTATCAGCAACTTATCTTCCCTTGAGGGACCAATATTGTCTGCATGCTGAGGTGATAGGAATGGTCTAAAGCTCATTTCAGTCTAAGAAATTACTTCCTGCTTAAAGGAAGTGGAAAAAGATATCCCATATGAACAAGTATGGATATCATAGATTTTCTATTTAGTACTATTAAATATATCTTTGGAAAAACTGGGTAAAATTATACTATAATAAATCACAAAGATATACGTGACCACACACTCATTGGCAAACACACATAAATTTGTATATACATAATGTACCACTTTCCCAAACCAAATAGAACAAAACTGAGGAATTGAAGCTGAAACTTAAAACCAACTGAGTTATATAAAAGAAGAAAGTAGTAACCAGTGTCATTATTTTTTCCATTTTGGTGCTTCCTTGAGGAGAAAAACAGTTTTCTAAATTTTCATGCATTTATATTTTAGATCTTTTAAACCTTTTGTACCTAAATAAGGAAGTTGGTGAACAGAATATTATAACTGTAATTCAAACTTTGATCTGAGAAATTGATAATGCCCTAAAATAACAGGTTGCAAAATGTATACTGTGAAGGTCATTACATAAAAGTTTTAAGTTCCCTGAGTTAAAATTAAAATTCTACTCTCAATAGTACCTACGTCCATTTCCTATAAAGCTTTTTGAAGAACTAGACATTACAAGAGAATGATATAAGGAGGTAATTATTACATTTAGTATATTCTAAACTTTGATTTGGGATTTTACTCATTCTTTTAATGCTGACCAATTAAACATTTTCTTTTCTAGATACAGTACAAAATTGTTTTCTTTAGCATAATCAAACAGCTTTCATTTTACATGAAGTAATACGTATTTTCATACATAATGCATACAAATATCAAGCAGTCAGTTTAGGAAAGTCATATGGTTTGGCTGTGTCCCCACCCAAATCTCATCTTGAATTTTAACTCCCACAATTCTCACATGTCGTGGAAGGAAGATGGTGGGAGGTGACTGAATTATGGGGCTGGTCTCTCCTGTACTGTTCTCATGAGAGTGAATGAGTCTCACAAGATCTGATGGTTTAAAACATGGGAGTTTCCCTGTACAAGCTCTCCCTTTGCCTGCTGCCATCCATGTAAGATGTGACTTGCTCCTCCTGGCCTTCTGTCATGATTGTGAGGCCTCCCCAGCCATCTGGAACTGTAAATCCATTAAACCTCTTTTTCTTCCCAGTCTTGGGTATGTCTTTATCAGAAATGTGAAAATGGGCTAATACAGAAATAAAGAAAAATGAGGCTGGAATTACAAAAGAAGCAATGTTATATTAGAGATGACCCAATGAAGTTAGGCCTTCAGAATGGCCTCCATTTTAAAGCTATGAGGTTATAACTAGCATGTTGTTATTCAGGTTAAATGGGGTGAAGTACACATAAAGAACACCACAAGCCCCAATACACAGCAATAAATTTAAGCCCCACTAATTTTTAACTATTATTTTAATGAAGATATTATCTAAGAAAAATGCATTTTTCTTTTGTATCTTTTTACTTTTTATGACTTTGATCTAGTCTTTAATTCATGATGAGTTGATGTATTTTGTGTAAATAACTAAGCATTGGATACATTGAGTTTCCATTATCAATGATATTCTGTATTTACAGGCACACAATCATATGCTCACTACCAGTAAGTATTCAGATTACACACAATCCTTTCTTATCAAGCCTAAAGTAAAATTAGTAACTCTAAGTCAACATATTTGATCATAGTATACGGTGGTGTTTCAACTTCCATTTTGAAGCATGCTGGGCTCCACTCACTAAATTTTTTAGATTTCTGTTTTATTTATAGGTACCCATAAATCAACCCTCTCAGAACAGAATGATAGATACAAGCGTAAGAACCTGATTTGCAAACCAATAGATTTTTTAAAATTCAATACCATTAATTAAGCAACTGAATGCCTTAACAAAAACATTTGCATAGAATTAGGGTGAAATACCATTTTGCTTTAATATATAACTGAACATTTTTAGAAAAGTAAACATTATTGTTAATGTGTTTCATTGTAATATCTATTGCCTTTAGATATGGTAGTTCACTTGTTTTGTGCTTTGTGTGTGTGCAAATGTGAGTCTAATCCTTCATTTAGATAAGTATCACAAGTTTGAAGCTCTGAAATTGAAATTTGAGCAAAAGCACAATGTATGTCTTTCAGAAGAAATGAGAAATGATTCATCCATTTCCAAACTAGTGTATGAAGATAAATAACCTCTGATCATTTAATATGTAACTCATGAGGTATGTATTATGAGTGAGGCATTGTAGCTAATAAGATAGGGTTCTTTTACAGCTTCAAGTTCCTGGTAACATCCCAGCTTGTGTGAGTACACTGGGAATAAATTATTCCTTTGTAGGAGAATTCATTACCGGTAGCTGATAGCTCATCGCTGAATTACTTATGAGAATTACTGAAACCGTATTTTTCTGAAATTAAAAAAACATGGTCTTTTGAAAACCAACCTTTTGTTGGCATGTTAACAACCAAATAATTGTTTGGAATATTTGTGTCCTCATATGTCTTTGCCAGTCTTTTCTTTCAATTACATTTCAGAATTCTTAAAATGCGTCTTTTATTAAGAAGAAAATCTGCCTTCACTCTGTAAATGGAACTTGGTCAAATGTATAGAATTTGTAACTCACAGACAAATACTAGTTTGTTAATTTGAAAATAAATTTTGAGATTCAAATAATAAGCCTGTGTTTTATTTTTAAAACATATGATATTTTGATTATTATTTTTCAAGTATAATTTGTGGGTAGAAGAGGATGCCTTTCTAAGCCATTCATTTCTGGTCTCATAACTCAAAACTCTCATTTTTTTCAAAGTAGTCTTTTCTAATACCCCAGTCCTTTTATGCATCTCTATCCCTTCAAAACAGATTCAGGTTATTTCTTGTCTCATGTCCTTAATTTTTTCTCCAGAGAGTCTTATGTTTATCCTCCCCCATCTTCTAATTAATAATGTGCTGCTCCCTGAGTCTCCTTTCCTCTCTGACCATATGTGTCAATCTTCTGCACAATGAATTTTAATTTCTATGCCATCTATAATATTAAAGCAGCCTTATAATTAATATATATCAAAATGTGTTCCAGTAAATTTCTTGTATGAATGCACTTGAAAACCTAATTGGCAAGACCCAGATACTTGTATATCTATTTAATCTTAATCTATGCTGTTTGTTGGATGGAGATTATTTTTCTTTTTTGTCTTCTGGACCTACATAATTTATAAGACATATTTAATGAGGAAAACATGTTAAAAATATCACTATTTTGTTATTTCTCAGGGTAAAAAGAAGAGGGTGTTGGAAATATCTTCCAGGTTTATGACTTGGAAGACTCAATACTTCTAAATGTCAATTCTTTCTACACTGACCTATAGATTCAACACAATCCCAATCAAACTCTCAGCAAGCTATCTTACTGATATTAACAAACCATGTCTAAAACTTATATGGCAAGGAAAGAGACATGAAATAGCTACAATACTGAAAAAAGAACAAACTGAAGGACTCATGCTACTGTATTCCAAGACAAATAAAGCTACAGTCATCAAAACTATGAGGGATTGGCAGAGGAATAGAAAATGGAAGAGAGTAGAAAACCAGTAAAATAAACCCACACAAACAAAATTAATATTTAACAAAGGCATTTGAAATGAAGAGAGGATAATCTTTCTGCTTTGTTGAAATGTTGATAAAAAAAGTAATAATGCTGAGCATTCACATATTAAAATAAAAATAACAGACACCAACTATATGTCTTGTGCAAGAATTAACTCAAAATGGATCATAGTTCTAAATGTAAAATTTAAAAAACTATACTTAGAATAAAATGGATTTTCTCTTGGATTTAGAGAAAAGTTTTTAGGTACACACAAGCCTTTATCCATAAAAAATTGATCTTGGACGTTATTAAAGTTTAAAATATTTGCTCTTCAAAAGACACTTAAAAGAATTAACAGACAAAGCATGGCCTGGGAGAAAATATTTGCAAGACATATTCTATAAGGTACATATATCCAAATTAAATAAAGAACTCTTGAAACCCAGCCTTAAGAAAATAGCCCAATTACTAAATTGGGCTATTTATTAAATAATCAAAAAGACACGGTATCAAAAATGATATAGAGATGACAAGTAAACATATATTAACAATACACAACATATTTGCCATTAAGTTAGAGCACATTAAAACAACTATGTGGTGGCACTACGGAACTACTAGAATGGCGAACATCCACAAAACTAAGAATATTATTCTCAGTGAGAACACAAAGTAACAAGAACTTACATTCAATTTGTCTTATAAAGTAGCTGTGCCGTTTTGCATTCCCACAACCACCTTGCAAGACAATTTAGCAGTTTCTTAAAAAGTTAAATATGGTCTCACTATAAGACCCACAATTAAAATGCTAGGTATTTACTCAACTGAATTGAAAACTTATGTACACACACACAGCCCATGAACATTAATAACAGCTTCATTTGTAATTTGCAAAAACTGGAAACAACCAAAATGTCAGTAGGTGAATGGATAAACTGTGATACAACTATATAATGAACTTAAAAATATAAGCTAAAAGCCATGCAAAGACAAGAATGAATGTTAAATACATATTACTAAGTGAAAGAAGCCTATCTGTGAAAGTTAAGTATTTTATCATTATATTTATATGACATTCTGGAACAGACAAAACTACAGAGAGGGTACACCTATTAGTTGCAGGGTTTTCTGTAGAGAGAGTTGAGTGGGCAAAGCACAGGGCATTTTTTTAGGGCATTGGAACTATTCTATATGATACCATAATGGTGAATATATATTATGCAATTGTCAAAACCCATAGAACTATACAGAAGAGAAAACCTTAATATATGAAAAACGCTTTAAAACGTATGCAGGAAGTCAGGATCACATGTCAGAAGGCAGAATGTGAAAAAAATAATCTAACCATATGAAAATGTAACAAAACCTCACTTATGTGGTGGCAGGGGAGAGGGGTGATGCTAACCTAGGCAACTTTGGAAATAGAGTTTGCAAGACTAGAGTCATTGCACATAAATCCTGTTCTCTGTTTGACAAAGTTATTCTCCAGGGGGCTACCACTAACAATTCTGAAACTCCCATACATGATAACAAGAATTTAACAAGTAATTAAATTGATGGCAATGGTAGGATACAGGTTTTTTTTTTTCTTTTTTCTTTTTTCTTTTTTTTTTTTGAGATGGAGTCTCGCTCTGTTGTCCAGGCTAGAGTGCAATGGCATGATCTCAGCTCACTGCAACCTCCGCTGGCCGAGTTCAAGCAATTCTCCTGTCTCAGCCTCCTGAGTAGCTGGGACTACAGGTACAGGCCACCATGCCCGGCTAATTTTTGTAATTTTAGTAGAGACAGGGTTTCACCATATTGGTCAGGCTGGTCTCGAACTCCTGACCTCAGGTGATCCGCCTGCCTCGGCCTCCCAAAGTGCTAGGATTACAGGCATGAGCCACTGCGCCCAGCCTGGGATCCACGTTTATTACTATTGGGGTGGGAAGTTACAAATAGCAAGGGGAGAAGGTTAGAATGATTGACATGGTAATTGATTATAGTTGATTATAGTTGGATACATCAATATGAACACACATTAAGTTAAATATACATACAGATGAATATACATACAAACAGATATGAAGACACAGATATAGAAATTTATAGATATGCATATATACATGGCTTAGTAGAAACACATATATCCCCTTGCACAATTATATTCCACTATCAATGAGCATACATAGCATCCAGATACTGGTTTCTGGTAAGTACCATTACCCAACAACAACAAAAACCAGGATTCCTTAGAAGGTTGATTCTAAGACTGGAGCAAAAAATATACAAGCTAAAACATATATATATATAGATAGATAGATAGATAGATAGATAGATAGATAGATATACACACACATATATATATACACACACACGTGTATATGTGTGTATATATATGTATATATGTGTATATATATACGTGTGTGTATATATATATACGTGTGTGTATATATATATATACACATACATAACAGTGATGCAAGTTGTAATGCCAGAAAATAAAGAAATGCTTTTCAAAAACTCTGTAGTGATGCAGGTGTGTCAAAGGACACAGGGCAACTGAAAGAGTTTCCAGTGGCCAGAGCTGAAATTATTTGATTAAAAAGAGAAACAAGGTACTATTAGAATATAATCCAAATTATGATAAAATCAAATTTCATGTGTCCATAATAATGTAAATGATTGAATAAATGGGGAGGAATAATAAAATTTTATACATGGCCCATGTAGAATAATTTATGTCAACACTGTGCCCTCAAAGAGGCAGACATAATAGCCTTACATGTGAACTGCACATAGGGACTTCCTTCCCAATACTACAGTATGGAAAGAGTCTGCACTGCAGTAGAGAAAACTAACAAATCCTACTTTAGCCAGGTAATCAAGATCAACATCAACAGTGACAAGTCGTGTTGCTAGTGTGTATCCTAGATAGAATGTGGTGAGAATGACACATCTGTGATCTTCTTCTCTAAAACCTATAATGCCAGTCTAATCATGAGAAAAACATTAGGTCAATCCCAGTTGATGAACATTCTGCAAAATACCTGACTAGTACTCCTCAAAACTGTCAAAGTCATTATAAGTAAGTAAAGTCTGAGAAACAGTCATAGCCAAGAGAATCCTAAGGAGGCATAATGACCAAATGTAATATGGTGAGCTAGATTGGATTCTGGAACCAAAAAAGAAAGCCAAGGACTAAAGGTAAAACCTAAGAAAATCTCAATGAACATTAGGCTTAATATATGCATATTGGCTCACTAATTATGACAAATGTTAGCACATTAAGGTAAAAAGTTAATAGGGGAAACTGGTTGTCGGTGATAACGGGAATGTGAACTCTATATTCTCTCCCCAACTTTTCTGTAAATCTAAATGTATTCTAAAATAAAAATGTTTATTTAAAAATGAGGCAGCAAGACCTTATGTTAGCATATAACAAAATGGGGGTAGGGATACGGTTCCTTATCACTATGCCTTCTTAAATTTCGCTCTAGCTCGGCATTTGCTAAGAAAATTCGGCTAAAGTTGAGATCGATATATGGATATGTCCCGGTTCAATGTAGCTAAATGAGGAAAGCTCTATAAGAAAGAAAACCATAAGATGATATAATTAATGGAGAAGATAAATATTACAAATTTTATAATTCCCAATTGTTAAAAGGTCACTTTATTTCCTCTTCTCTTGCCACATGATATTTAGAATTACTTGGTTTCAAAATATTTTTAAAATTATTCAATTTAATTACAAGAAAGAAAGTAAAAAAGCAGAAAGGACTTGGAGGGGGTGAGCACACATAGCAACAACATTAATAATAATGAACAGTCCTACCATTTTCAAAATTCTCTCATATGTACTCTCACTGGATCATCAAACATTGTTTTCTGTTATGTCAAGTCTAATATCTCCTGCATATTCACAGCTAAATGTTGCATAATACATGTGGGATATAAGGGATCCAACTTTAAGGACTTAAAAAAGGCTAAAGGTGTTATATATCTAAAAAACATTCTCTGTATTTTATGAACTGGAGATAAGAGTCATAGCAGAAACTTCCACCATTAGTCTCCTTGGCAATACTGATTAACCTCCCTCAGTCACAATTTTGCACAAAAAGAATAGAAATGTTAAAGAAATGCTTTGGGATTTCAAGGCTATCATTAACATTTATGGGAAGAGAGGTGAAAGAGCTAGCTAGTAATTATCAATGTACTGCATTGCTCTACATCTCTGGCAGGAACCCAACTTTTTGGATCAACTAGCAGGCAGCACCGTTAGCCATGAGCTTCCATGGTCACGATGAGATTGTATGTCTTGGCATGATTCGGCAGGTGTCATTTATATGCAATGTCATCTGCAGGAAAAATGCAGGGAGTATCATTCTCCCTGCTTAAGTTCTTTTATGGAGACAACTCAAAGTCTTCGCTAAATGATTACTCTTGATCATTTTCAGTTACAACAATGACTTAAGAGTATTGTGGAAAAGCATCCCAGTGAACAGAACTGTTAAGATGAATAAAAATGTCTAAATTCTAAATATATATTTTCAACTATTTGCAAGGCTATATGAACATTTTTGAAATACTAGTTACTCTGTTGTGAGAACGTAAGTTTACATTTAATTTTTAAATAAGTTTTATTTTTATACATCTTTAACACGTAGAATTCTCCAGCACTGTGTGGATCCAATTATAAAAATGAAACATATTTTACTAAAAATACATCTACATAGTATTCGAATACTCAAATGGATGTTGGCAGTGAATGGAGAAAACCTATCAAAACTGAACAAATCTAGAATAAAATTACTACAAAATTAGCAAAACAGTCAGTTTTAGAAGAAAACTTTTGAGGACATATAAAATGCAAATGCCGTGAATGATGTGATCTCTCCTTACATACCCACTTGTTTCACACGCTTGAGGTCAGAAGTCTAAAACTGAATAGACACCTGGATTTATAATTTATTATAGTCACAGATCCTTATCAAATTATGTCATATAAAATTCTTATATTACTATTTTCAGAGGGAAGAATTAGGAATTCAAATACTCTAGTTTATAACATAATAGAATTGCATACAATTAATGATTGAATAGACTACTTTTACTTGAATAATTAAATTCAACAAAGTTAAAGGAACACAAAACTCATATAGGCAGTTAATATTAATAACAAATTTTAACCCTCTCCCACCTCTCTTTAGTAAAGTAAGTTTTCAACTACTCTGAATGTTACAGAAAATGGATAGTGATAATGAAGATGGAATATTTTTCTTCATGTAGTGTCTTGAGTTTGAGTTTAATTCACCATTTGGGTTTAATATACCTTATATTTAACAAATGTTGTAAAGAATATTAAAAAATTAGGGAAAGAATTTAAATATTACACACTATTCTCTGCTTACATATAAAAATGAACAACACTTCTATAAATTTCATGTCATTTTCATATTTTAAGATTTTTTAAAGTGACTTTTTTATTATTTTAGAAATTTCACTTTTTTTTTTTTTTGAGATGAAGTCTCACTCTTGTCCTCCAGGCTGGAGTGCAATGTCACAATCTTGGCTCACTGCAACCTCTGCCTCCCTCCTGGGTTCAAGCGATTCTCCTACCTCAGCCTCCCGAGTAGCTGGGATTATAGGCCCCCACCACCACGCCCGGCTAATTTTTGTATCTTTAGTAGGGACAGGGTTTCACCATGTTGGCCAGGCTGGTCTTGAACTCCTGACCTCAGGTTATCCGCCTGTCTCGGCCTCCCAAAGTGCTGGGATTACAGGCGTGAGCCACCATGCCCAGCCATATTTATCTTTTTATATGGTGTTTGACACAACTACCTTTCCCTTCTTTGGTTTCAGTTATTTTCCATTAACGTTTATGCATTATTTTCAACAAAACAAGATTAAAGTCAAATATATATACTCATTAAATGAACTAACATTCTGCTCTTATAATTTAAAACAAATATGCAATGCTTATAAGTGCAGAGTTTCTTTGTTACCCTAGGATTGAATTTTAGAAATCAGTCAATTGTCCTTTGGATTTTGAAAAATACACTCATTCATCATCATAGGAACAGTCTTCCCCAAAATTATGGCAATATTCCTCTCTTAGACATGATTGTAGTGTAATACAGATAGGTTGTAAATAATTTGAAAGCATCCTAAAAATAAAACGTATTGTAATCGCTAATTTCATTAATCTCATGAAATAATACCCTAAAATGTACAATTAATGAGTCTCAACTTAACTGGTGAGTAGTTTGAGATAAATAACATGCTTATGTAAATCAACAATAATTTTGTAATTTTACTATGAGATTCAAAGGTATTGAACCTCCACACAATATCATCCTTTTCAAGCTTCTCTCAACAAGCAGCTTATGAAAAAGGTGATTCGCCTTCTGAGCTGTAGCCCATAAAGTAATTGAACGTTCAGTGAGGCAGGATGTCTACCCCACGCTGAGCAGTGAATTTGAAGATTCAAGGAATGATGAATATCTAACAAACTACTTCCTAAAGGGTTTTTATTACTCCAATTTTCTTTATTTTTCTTTACTTTTTTTAAAAAATTAACCCTAAGGATTATACAAGAAAAGCAAACCAAATAAAACCATCACACCAATAAAATCCAAATATATATTATTTTAAATCAGGCATATACATATGAATTGAGGCAGTACACTCACAAAAGACAACATCCATTTTTTGAGTATTTTATCATAGTCATTTTATATTTGCTGCTTTTATTAAGCCGTTTTACATTATGCAGGACCTGAGAAATTTTACGTTTCAGACTTGACTTTTATGAGATATTTTAAAAAAATATTTTGTTTCACTTTAGTCACTATTACTGTTTCAAAATTCTACATTTCTTGAAATTTTATTGTGTAATTCAGCCCACAGTTTCAGTTTTTTCTAACATTTGATGTATCAATTTTAATTGGCCAAAAACGTAAACGGTTCTTTTAGATGTGAAATACTTCATGGCTAGATAAACCATTATTTTAAGATCAGTGTAACTTTGATATTTATTTAAGGAAGAAGTTTATTTCCTAGAAATGGCTATTCGAAATTGCCAAAGAGGTAATGAGTCATAGAATTATGAATCAAAGTATTTCAGAAAAAGTAAGATCTTCAAGGTAGTACAATTCAGCATTTCTTAAAATGTTTCAAATAACAGTCTGAGAATTTGATTAAAACTATGTTCCCTCTCGCAGAAAAATGCACAGGCTCACAAATTTTTGCATTCAGTTCCAACACATTTGAATCACATCTTTGTAGTCTATTCATGAACCAAAGGTAGTGGAATTTGGAGATTTTGTTCAAGCTCATGTTATAGACAAAGAAACTTTGGTCCTCCAGAGCTAGATGACTTTCCAAGGTTAACCTGTTAGGTATAGTTCAAGATAAGACAAAAATACAGGTTTCCATCCCAGCTACTCGGGAGGCTGAGGCAGGAGAATGGCGTGAACCCGGGAGGCAGAACTTGCAGCGAGCGGAGATCGCGCCACTGCACTCCAGCCTGGGCGACAGAGCGAGACTCCGTCTCAAAACAAACAAACAAACAAAAAAACCAGGTTTCCTGGAATACACACTTTTTCTATTACATCCAATCACGTAATTATAACCAACTAGAAAGGATTCACAATAACTAAACACATTTTACAGCAACTTTAGGTTTTTTTTCTATGGAATAAACTGTATCTAATCTCATCAATGCATGTTTCATTATAAGAGATAATTGTGTAGAGATCTCGACTCCTCTCAGTGAGATTGAGCAAACCCGATACAGAAAAGGAATGCTACAAATGTCTCTTAAATTTTGAATGAATGGGCCTGCGTTGGCAGTGCAGTGGGAAAGTTGACATTAGAAGAGACGCTAGTCTGGGAAACTAGGTGTTTTCAGACAAAATCATGTTACAGGGTATTAAGCAGGTATGCAGATACTAGCTGATCATTAAGCAATGTCTGCCCACCATCAGCTTTTTTTTGACTATAAATTCACAGGTTTATTGGATAATGAGTAATAAACCAAATCTCAGAAACACCAACCATCTGAACAACTTCATTGAAGCTGGGGTTAAGTGACGAAGAGGTAGCTTTACCCTAGAAGATGGTTTCGGTTAGAAAGGCCATCCTCATATTGAACAATCATCATCCTCACTGCAAATTTCACTTATTTGTCCAGATTCTTCCGCCTGAACAAATAAATATTTTTTATTTATTCATTCATCTCTCTCTTTCAAAGAGCTATAGTATTTGACATTACTGTTGCTCATTTTCCAAATTTCCAGCAAGTCGTTTCAAAAGAATCCTCTGGAAAATGTTCCCCTCACCGTGATCCTTTGCTTTGCTCACATTTTACTCATTTCTGCTCCCGAGTTGTGATTCCCTCCTTTTCTCAACTCCCGTTTCATTTCTCTTTCCTGTTTCTCTCTCATCCCCTCTTATTTTTATAGACTTTGTGCTCTTCCTTCTAGATTCTCTTTCTATATTTTACTGCAATAGGAAAAAAACAAATGGAGCAGTGGTGTTTTGTGAAAGTTTAAAGGATTACCATTGTCATACTAAAATTCTAACTTCCAGCACTGGAATTACAGATTACATTAAATTCTCCCAGAAGAACTTGAGCAAATACGTGAGTATTAATATTATGTGGGGAGAGATGTTCCAAGGGAAGCACTGGTATGATCCCAAGGGGACAAGGAATCAGTACGATGTTGAGATGTTGAGCAGACTACCACCGTAGCACATGAAGATCTTTGGAACCCAACACCACTGCTCAACTTTGAGAAGCAATGTATACTGTGTCTCAGGTTTCTCCCCACCAAGGAACAAAGGAACTAGGATATTGATCCACAAAGCTGCCAGTCATTGATTCAGGGCTGCTCCCAGGTGATATGAATGCATGCATTTCCATTTGCCCTTCAGTTGAGCCAGACACCTTGGCCAGAAAAGCCTTCAGAAAGAGTCTCAGGTGCTTCCAGTTGGAATGCACAAGAGTGATGTGTGTTGATGAGATATGGGTGAGTCACCAACAGCACCTGCAACCAATTATTTCATTGCTACATTTTTGTATGTATTTAATATCTGAGCATGACTTTTCCTCTGAAACACAGAAGATATTTAATATCTTGTTTCCATATTTATTTCACAGGAAGAAATGTCTTGGCCCTTCTGAAGGGCTCTAATAAGCACATTGGTTAATCTAGTGATTCACAAGGGAGTCCAATGGGTCAAATTCCTGTTTGGGGACATAACTGGCAAGACTCAGAACTGAATTTTCTAGACTTTCAAGTAACTTGTAAACAATGTGAGCTTTGCAGTTAGATAGATCTAGCTTTTTAGTTTAATGATTGTGTACTGTGCAACTTAATTTTTTTCAGGCTCAGGGTCCTTATAAGAGAAAATATTAATAGCACACAGCTGTGCTGACTAAAAGAGATCAAGTAAGCTAGGCAGAGGATACAATTTCATTATTTAGCAAAGGGTCAACTTTTGTTGGTCATTTCCATCAGCTCTCCTTCCCCCAAATCACCAAGATTAGTATTTTACAATTTACAGAATTAAAATTACATTTCCCAGTATATTTTCTTTTTTCAAAAGCTTTTTTTTGCCTTCTTTTATTATATGTATTCTTGCAGTCTGTGAAATATGGATATATGCAGGATAGATATACGCAGATAACTGAATAGAATATTTAAAATAAATAATCCACTTTTGTATCCATACGGTAATGACACGATTCACTGGTTTATATAATGCTACCATCTTGAACTTCAATTTTTCTAGGTCACTCAAGTTAGTGGTACTATATAACTTCAAAATTGTTACAGTACATTGCAACTGAGCCTAGTTTTCTTCTCCAGTATACATTAGTTGTGTAGTTGTCTTTGACTTTATTGCCTTCTTGTCAGCATGCAGAGAAACAGATTGCAAGCACAACATTTGACAAGACTACCTTAACCATTTTCCCTGCAGGTTTGCATTCAGCTGGATGGTGATATAATTACAGGGTGAATCCCCAGCAGACATGATTGTGGCCCTTTTCCCCAAACACTGCAGCACCGCTTCATGCTCATAACCAAAGAATCATATTCTCTGTATTTGGCTTTTTCTTGTGTCTCTGGATTTGTTATATTCAAGGTGGACACATGTTATATGCCAGGTTGAAAAATTTTCTAAATTTTTTAACTTTGTCTAATTCATGTATAGTATCAGTATAATTGATAGTTTACTAACATTTATATGTATTTCCTTAACTGCTTATTTAGGAAGACCATAAACACGATTTATAAAAATAAAGCTTACACATAAAATATTGTGCATAACTTAATCAGTTATTAGTCAATTTCCCTTTTGTACACGTGAGCATTTAAATACATTTCTAAGAGGAGTTTTAAGTCATTAGCAGAAAATAAAAGGTTAACTCTAGTAAAACCAGAGGAATTCTACAAATGCATTGCTTAAAAATTAAATAGGACTCACGGGTCATAATAAAAGCTTAATAATGTATTTAAATGTATCAAAGAGATAGTAGTAACCAAGAAATAAGTAGTATTCCTTGATGATAATATGATAAAGGGTCTACTTAGTGAATTCCTTCCCAAAACAGTCAATGATAAGAAATAATAAATTACTTATTTTTATTTACTGCTAAATATTTCAAGGATATATTCACTTTCTACTTGTTTCTTGGAACACGTAGTTTAGAGGTATAGAAATCACTCAACAGAAAACTGTGAAAGAAAAGCTGAAAGAACACTTAAAGATCATGTAATTTATACTTTTTATTTTGGAATTGATTCCCACGGTGTCCAATATGGTAGTCATAGGTCACTGTTACTATCAAGCATTTGAAATGTAGCTAGTTCAAACTAAGCTGTGTTGCAAGTATAAAATACACTTCACACTGGAATCGTTAATTTAAAAAATATGTCCAACATCCTACCTATAGTTCTCATATTGAACAGATGTAAAAATCATATTTTTGGATTAAATAAAATAAATTAATTTTATCTTTTTTTACTCTTTCGACACACTGGATTAAATAAAATGTATTTATCTTTGTTTACTCAATAATGTAGATGGTAGAATATTTTAGAACACATGTTAATTGAATTATATTTCTATAGGAATGTTGGATTTTACTATAATCAAAAATCACCATGAAAGTCAAATGAACAAAATGTTATGTATGATGAATAAATCATGAAGACTTAATTTTCTTAAAATTTGGAGATAAGAAATTAAAGGACTGTTAGCCAAAATGTAAGCTTCATTCTTATAGATTGTCTATCAGAGTTCTTTAGTGCCAGAGCCTTTGTGTGGCCACAATGATGACCTGTGTTCATAAAAAGACTTCCAGTAGTGACTCTAGAAATTACAGACAAGTCTCCCTGTGACATTGGAGGTTTTAACAGTGGTGGATGCAACCAAGACAATTTGTCTCTGCAAATGCCTGACACTTCTCATAGAGCTCCTTGAGTAAACAAATCTATAGATAGGGAAAATATAAGGAAGACAATTAGCTTGCTACAATTCTCTTAAATTGTCATCATATTGAGAGCAATTGGTAGTGAGTGGGAGGACAAAAAGCATGGATAGCTACTAAACACAGAAACAAAAGAGTTTGTGGCAAAAAAAAAAAAAAAAGACAGATGTTAGAGCTATAAGTGAAACAAAGTGGTCCTAAGATTAAACAACATTGAACAAGATCATATAGTAGTTTTTAAATGAGCTGATGGAGCAACATCACAAAAATACTCAGTTTTATAAAAAAATTTTTCAGATTAAGGAAAGGCCAAAGTAATGAGTACATACCTAAGTATTTTTCTCTGTGTATATGAACAGGTTTGGGAATGACATATGATTTTTTAATGGGAAATTTAAGCTGTACCCGTCTTAATAATCCGTGCCAAGTTTTAAAAATAAATGCTTTTTCAGAAAATAAAAATGACATCTTAAAGAAAAACTTCTAATCAACGTCTGTCTCTTGGAGTTCTACATCTTTTGCTCACTGCCTTTAAAATAAGCAAATAAGGTCTGCCAACAAGAATGGATACTCATAATCTCTGGCTTGATTTCCTGAAAAATACTCCTTTTTGTTCTTATATTAAACCATTGGCAGAATCTCTTTTAAATACTTTTAAAGTAAGTAACAATTTAGAATTTTCATTTTTAAAAAAATTATGTCTTGAAATGCTAGCTTTTTAAAGAAAGGGAAAGCTGAAATAATCTTTCACATCTTCTTGTCATTCTCACCTGTAAACTAGTTTTGCTGTTAACATATTGCATGGAACAAGAAAAAAGGTCCATGTGAGTATGAGAGAGTATGCTATTTTACATTACTAATATAAATCACATATCTGTTAACAGTAATAACTATTTTTATTAAATGTTTGTCGTATCTACTAGGGATTATTCTAGGCTCTTTTTACTTTTTAGATTCTAAATCTAATTTAATCCTCACGACACTATTACATGAGTCCTATTGTTGTCAATTTAAATAAAGCTTGGGGCTGTAATCTGATGTAACAAAAATATTTTTATTGTAGATAGTGTTAGTTACACATTTATCCCCTTGACTCATCGATGGACAAGGATAACCTTTTATATGTTATGTATATATCATCAGAGAACTGGAAGTTTGAACAAATCCTTTCAATATTGAAAAGTCTGCATGTGATTTTGCAAAAGAAGACTTTCTGTTTGGCCTGTGGACAATCCATATTTCCACTGGATTTCCAGGCTAAGCTGATCTACTTGAATATCAAGATAGTCTGAAGGCACAATACATGTGAAAAGCATTACTACTATAAAGCTTGCCTAAAGTTATACCAAAATATGTAATTTAAATTATATATTCCCTTGCAGAGTTTTAATAAGGGTACCTCTCACTGAAGAGACAGAGAACAAAATAGAAAATTTTACTGCTAAAGTGTCTACAACATATACAAGAAATGTTCTTTGTAGATACAGTCTCTTAAGATTCCTGTTTCAATGACCATGAATCTTTGCCTTTTTGCCCTCAGATATACCTGATTTTAGACCTCAAATACTTTCACATGTGAAAAGGCAGCAAATTTTATATAATATTATGTATTTTTTTCTTCTACAGCATTTCTACAAATAACATGAGAGAATTTTTTTTCCAACTAAAACACTAGTAGTTTATTAACTTTAAAAGCAAAATAGACCAGGTGCGGTGGCTCGCGCCTATAATCCCAGCACTTTGGGAAGCTGAAGGGGGAAGATTCCTTGAGCCCAGGGGCTTGAGAATAGACTGGGCAACATAGTGAGACTCTGTATCGACAAAAAAATAAAGCAAAAATTAGCTGGGCCTAATGGGGTTCGCCTGTAGCCCTAGCTACTCAGGAAGCTGAGCAAGGGAAGCAGAGGCTGAGTGAGCTGTGATTGCACCACTGCACCCCAGCCTTGGCGACAGAGCGAGGCCTTATCTCAAAAATGAAATAAGTAAAAGCAAAATACATAAACGGCTTTGCTTATAAATACACAACTATCATTTTAATGCTTCCTGAAATCATTAAATCATAAATGTTATTGGTAATCCTGCTTCCATTTCTGATGCTCTTTTAGCTTGTTTTAAATTTCAGATTCAAATCCCAGAGGTTGGGACTTTCTCATTTGCATTCATATACTTTCTTCTTAAGCATATAAGAGACTAAATTAATGTATAAACAGCATTGGGGCACCAGGGGCTCAAGGCAAGAACAAAATTACTCTGGGGATGGAACATTTTCAAAACATATTCCAATTCAGGATAGGTTTACGTGTTAAAGTGCTAACAGATGACTAGCACTGTTTCTAAATCTAGAATAACTACTTGAGTTCAGAGACCAGATTACATGTTTAAAACAACCGGAACCATTAGAAGTCTAGATTTGCATAGATATAAATCAAGATTATTAGAGGAGGAGCTATTAAGAAGAAAGTGCAATCATGTCTCAAAAATGGGATTTAAAATATTGTCATATTTTGAGATGATAGTAGAATATTAAATTAACTACTTTCACTAATGCTGAATTCCCTATATTTTTCCTTTATTCTGACCTTAATATTATCTACCTACATTATGCTCTAGTATTTTCATTCTTGCCACATTTTTAGCATTATCCCATTGCACTCCAAATTTGCACACACAAACACAAAGTCAACAAAGCCAGTAATATTTAGGTTCCGAACATGCAGGTTCTCCTTACCTGTCAAATGTGCACCTTTTTCCTGCCATGTCAAGTCTTCCAAAACTACTCTGTTTGGGTGCTGCTCATGTTTCAAGCCTTTCCTATCACCCAGGGCTCTGCTCTCTCCTAGGAGACGACTACACGAGAATAATCCTAATAAATGTGTGACTGGCTAGGCAAATCCCACAGGTTTACATGTTTGTAAATTTACCAAGTACCACCTGAAAATGATGATTATTATTATTCGGTGATTCTCAAGCTTTCTCAATTTTGGCAGTGTATATGACTCACCTGAAGATTGTATTTTAATTGGTTAAAAACAATGGTTCTCGCCGAGTTTCAGCCTTTAGTGTTCATGGAACTCACCTGGGAGACTTGTTCAATCACAGCTTGCAGAGCTCTGCCCTCAGAGTTTCTGATTCGCTGTGTCTGGGGTGCAGACCATTATTTACTTATCTACCATGTACTCAGGTGATGATGTTTCTGGTCTTATAAGCATGCTTTGTGAACCACTGGTCTGGAGTTAGACCTAAGAAATCTCCAGCTGATTCCTATACTATCTAGAATTATGATAACTTTTTCTAATCAAATGTAGGAAGGCCTATAATGGACATCTCACAACAATGCCATGCAAAGTGCATTTTGTATTATTGAGTAGAATAAAACTTACCTAGAAATAATTCTGTTTACTTGTATATATTTCTTAACCAATTACTTTTTTCTATTTTTGGACAAACACCTCTACCATGGCCCAAAATCTCTCAGCAGTAGTATCTGAGTGTTTTTAGGTATATGATAAAAATTCATGTACCAAGACCTTCAAAAAGCTCAAGTGTTTTAAGTTTGTCACAAAATGAACAGCAAACAGACTGATGTTTCAATTTTCAAATGTAGATATAGTGAATTAGTAGTCACAGTATTCACAGCAGAATACTATAACAGTGCAGTATTGGGGTGACACATGAGAAATCCTGTTTTCAGAATGACCCTTGGACTATGTGGAAGAAAAATATAAAATCCTATTTGTTTGTGATGGAAAAAAATTCCACAATCCTAAAATTAGAAATGTGAATAAATACTACTGCAGCTATGGGGTGGGTGCAAATACCGATAATGCTCACTACAGAAGAAGACAAAACAATACCACCTGATCATCAGAATAAGATGCATGTGAGTGCAACACTAGGTGCTTTTTGATGAAACTCTAACCAAAGAATGCAAAACTTAGATGATCAATGTGAAGAAACTTGGGTCATTTGAAGTAGGAAATAGTAAATGAGATTTTTGAGACCTAGTAATAAAATGGACTGACAAATGCCATAATCCTTGAGTGTCTCCAAGTATGCATGGTCTTGGGAAAGCAGTTCTATAGTACTACTTATTTAGTATGGCTGGATTTCTGTCTTTATTTCCCTAACTTGGAAATAATTTTATTTATAAAGAGGAAAAACTTTGAATTATTTCTGCAAAAAATAGGATGCAATCTGACTAGTTTAGGAGAAAGTAAGAGGTATGTACACTACATGTTGCTGAGACAGTGAAATTTGAAATTTAAAATTATACACAGAAAAAAGGGAGATCATCCCCCAAAAAAGATGAAATTGTTAGAGATAGAACATATAAAATGAAATGGAATATCAACAATGAATACCAAAAGCCTTAAAAATATACAATTGATCAGAAGAAGTGCTGGGAAGACAAATGAAAATAAGTAGTGGAAATTTTAGTAGCACAAAAAGACAATTCTTTATACTTACATCAATTATTTTGAATGGTACATTCTGTAAGAGAGAAATATGAGGAGAAATACATTTTCTTATGACTCTGCAATTGTGAACCCAACAATGTATTGTACTTTATACAAAGGAATTTGCTTCACTGAAGCATGTAATCTGTATTGTCATTATTAACTGAATAAAAAATTTCACTTCCTCCTAACCAGCTTACTCACACATATTTTCATTCTATAGAAGAGAATTAAACTTGTTTATTCACGGTGATAATTCAAATAGATCTGAATTATTAAGCATATTCATTCAACAAATATTGAATTAACATTATACACTGTACCAGATCTGTCTTAAACAAAGAAATGTATAAGCATGTGCCTTGGCCTTAAAGAGTTTTAAACCTGGAAAAAGGAACAATATATTTGCACGAATATCTTCAATAGGACTGTATATGCCACTCAAGTGATATTGACAGGCAGCAAGAAAAAGAGAATGCATCCTGCTGCCATGATCAAGAAATACTTTATAAAGTATTTGTTTAGTTTAACATTAAAAGATGGAGAACATGAAGTTTAGCTCCAAATATTAATAATGCTTAAATATAGATAACATTGCAAGGGGTTTTTATGTCCTTTTAATCTTTCTGCATTTTCTGCTTCCTTTAAATGAATGTGTCCTTTTTACAAAATGAAGAAAGGAATAAATACCATTAAAGCAAGTAAAGGGACTGAGGCATGGTAAACTTGAAGGAGAATATTAAGAGAATATGTAAATTCAGAAGATTTTGGAAGCACATGAGGGAAAATTTTAGGTTTGGATGATAAAATTGTGACAAATCCCAAGTTAATAAGTGATTTAAGAAGAAAGATGGTGAAGGCCAGGCCCGGTGGCTCATGTTTGTAATCACAGCACTTTGGGCGGCAGAGGCAGGAGGATCGCTTGAGCCCAGGCATTCGAGACCAGCCTAGGTAACATAGTGAGACCCCCAACTCTATAAAAATTTTAAAAAATTAGCGAGATATGATGCATGCACCTGTAATCCCAGCTACTTGGCAGGCTTAGGTGGGAGAAATGCTTGAGCCCAGGAGATTGAGAATGCAGTGAGCCATGATTGCACCACTGTACTCCAGTCTGGGTGACAGAAAAAGACCCTGTCTCAAAAAATAATAATAAAAACATAAATTTTAAAAAGAAAAACAAAAGATGGCCCATCTAGTTTTAGGCTCGTTGAGTTTGGGTTATGGCAGCCTAAATGCCCATTCGTGTGTGAAGTGGAAGCAACTCCAGGTAGAGGAGCAAGGGCTGGGGCTGGAAGTCAAGCAGAAGTGTGATCATTGGACACATGGGACATATCCAACATCTGATGAAGATAAATTCAGAGATATCTTGAAGATTAAACATTGGGGAATGCTTCCATAGAAGATTCAAACGTTACCCAATCTGTTTGAAATTAGCTCGAAACTTTGACAGACTATCACTGTTTCTACATATTTTGTTTTCCTGTAGTACTGACTGACCCATCAGTACTAATCTAATAATAATGTTAGAAATATTTTGAATTAGAAGGAGGAAAATATGCCTTGGTCTCCTCCTTCCTTAGAATAAATAAGATAAATAGTATTGTGTATTTATTGATTTCTCATAATAGCAAAATAAAAAGCCTGACCTTAGCCCTGGGACAAACTGTTCTGCTGTATACTTTATGACTATACAAAAGAGTTGTCAGCAGGATCACAGTGAATTTCTGTAATGCCAAACAGAGCTAACTCCATGGAAATTATGACAGCTCCTTGACATCAGGGACACTCACCGACTGCTTATTCACTTGTTGAGAGTAAATGAGTGTCAGCTGCCAGAAAATGGAGTGAACAATGTTGAAACCATACAAGACACTTTGCTTTAAATGATAATTTCAAGTACTGAATCTCAGGCACCTGCTGGTTTTGTTTTATAATTTCTCAAGCAAAATAAGTGGGTTTTGTCAAGTGAAAAGGTTATATTTCTGCTTGTTGAATTAAATATTGGAGGTCAAAGTAATAGCATCGATTCCACATAACCATACAAAAGAGACAAAACATAAAAATGAATGTTATAGACTTATGGCTAGGCTTAATCAATCAACAGACTATGACAATATGACTGAAATTTTTCAATCTTCTAAATAACAAATAACAATATTCAATTATCTTTCTTCATAGAAGTTGACATTGTACAATTTGAAAGGGTCACTCTTGGTTTGCCTATCAAAAATGTCATAATATCAATTCCTTCAATGTAGTAAAATTCTACGACTACTAAAATAATCTACATGAAAATGTCTTGATGTAATACTTGTATTATATTCCATGTAGAACTCATGTCACTTTTTACATCTATAATGCTCAAGCATACATACAATATAATTCAAAGTTGGACAGAGGATTTATAATATGACTCATTCTAATTATTCTGATATCACACTCATTCACATTCATAGGCAGAATAATAGTAAGTATATTAATAATTATGCCAAAACAGTAAATGGTTGGATGCCAACAATGCATTTAGGACTTTAGCAAATTTATGACTGCAATCAAATCTGCTTCTAAAAATGTATACATACATATTAATGTTCTATGTAAATCAGAGGTTTACATTTAAGTTGACCTTAGGGAATAACAACAGCTGATATTCCTGCCTTATAGATTATGTTTTACTTTTCTCAAGTCAATGGAAATCTTATTCTCAACATGATAAATGTTGAGCACTATACTAAATTCCATAGATTCATAACACTTGGAAGAAGTTAGCTCAGCACTTTTAGACTTTTCAACAGCATTCGAGACAGATAATCATCTACTATCTGCCTAGTCACCAGCAGTAAAGATGAATCATATCAGTCGTATCACTATGCCAGTTATTCAACTATGCTCACTATTGAATTAAAATGTGTTACATCTACCACACTTCATTCTATCTTCTTTTTGTGGATTCAAATGCTAATAATTAAAATAATAATACTAACAGAAATAATACTTCAGCATGATTATTATCATCCATGATATGGCAAACCTCAAATATTCATGAGAGTTTACATACCTCTCTTATTTCTTCCTGAATTTACATTGAATATCTGTAGTTCATTAGTGACATAACTTGGCTCTGAGACCCTCCACCATCTTAGAGTCCTTTTTTCTGCATAACATGACTATACTAAGTGCATTAATACAGTTGAGGTACTAGGGCAACACCATGAGGTGGCTAAGAATTTGGCTTCCAGAGTAAGAGTTATGTTTGATCCAGAGCAAGGTGTTTAATCTCTGAATCCATTTCCTCATTGGTAAAATGAAAACAATGATGATAATAATATCAATCATCTGATAATATGAGATATGGAACAAGTACAATAATACACAAAATGGCCAGCCCTAGTTTCTAGCCATACAGTGAAATGAATACAATAAAGAAACAAGACATAGTCTCTATGTCCATGGAACTTTCAGTTTAGAAAGGATATAAAATAATTATTAAAAAACAGTGTAAAAGGCGGGAAGATATTGCAGTATTTTTTTTTCTTTTTTTTTTTGTTGTTTTTTTTTATTATACTTTAAGTTTTAGGGTACATGTGCACATTGTGCAGGTTAGTTACATATGTATACATGTGCCATGCTGGTGCACTGCACCCACTAACTCGTCATCTAGCATTAGGTATATCTCCCAATGCTATCCCTCCCCCCTCCCCCCACCCCACAACAGTCCCCAGAGTGTGATAGTCCCCTTCCTGTGTCCATGTGATCTCATTGTTCAATTCCCACCTATGAGTGAGAATATGAGGTGTTTGGTTTTTTGTCCCTGCGATAGTTTACTGAGAATGATGATTTCCAATTTCATCCATGTCCCTACAAAGGACATGAACTCATCATTTTTTATGGCTGCATAGTATTCCATGGTGTATATGTGCCACATTTTCTTCATCCAGTCTATCATTGTTGGACATTTGGGTTGGTTCCAAGTCTTTGCTATTGTGAATAATGCCACAATAAACATACGTGTGCATGTGTCTTTATAGCAGCATGATTTATAGTCATTTGGGTATATACCCAGTAATGGGATGGCTGGGTCAAATGGTATTTCTAGTTCTAGATCCCTGAGGAATCGCCACACTGACTTCCACAATGGTTGAACTAGTTTACAGTCCCACCAACAGTGTAAAAGTGTTCCTATTTCTCCACATCCTCTCCAGCACCTGTTGTTTCCTGACTTTTTAATGATTGCCATTCTAACTGCTGTGAGATGGTATCTCATAGTGGTTTTGATTTGCATTTCTCTGATGGCCAGTGATGATGAGCATTTTTTCATGTGTTTTTTGGCTGCATAAATGTCTTCTTTTGAGAAGTGTCTGTTCATGTCCTTCGCCCACTTTTTGATGGGGTTGTTTGTTTTTTTCTTGTAAATTTGTTTGAGTTCATTGTAGATTCTGGATATTAGCCCTTTGTCAGATGAGTAGGTTGGGAAAATTTTCTCCCATTTTGTAGGTTGCCTGTTCACTCTGATGGTAGTTTCTTTTGCTGTGCAGAAGCTCTTTAGTTTAATTAGATCCCATTTGTCAATTTTGGCTTTTGTTGCCATTGCTTTTGGTGTTTTAGACATGAAGTCCTTGCCCATGCCTATGTCCTGAATGGTAATGCCTAGGTTTTCTTCTAGGGTTTTTATGGTTTTAGGTCTAACGTTTAAATCTTTAATCCATCTTGAATTGATTTTTGTATAAGGTGTAAGGGAGGGATCCAGTTTCAGCTTCCTACATATGGCTAGCCAGTTTTCCCAGCACCATTTATTAAATAGGGAATCCTTTCCCCATTGCTTGTTTTTCTCAGGTTTGTCAAAGATCAGATAGTTGTAGTTATGTGGCATTATTTCTGAGGGCTGTGTTCTGTTCCATTGATCTATATCTCTGTTTTGGTACCAGTACCATGCTGTTTTGGTTACTGTAGCCTTGTAGTATAGTTTGAAGTCAGGTAGTGTGATTCCTCCAGCTTTGTTCTTTTGGCTTAGGGTTGACTTGGCAATGCGGGCTCTTTTTTGGTTCCATATGAACTTTAAAGTAGTTTTTTCCAATTCTGTGAAGAAAGTCATTGGTAGCTTGATGGGGATGGCATTGAATCTGTAAATTACCTTGGGCAGTATGGCCATTTTCACGATATTGATTCTTCCTACCCATGAGCATGGAATGTTCTTCCATTTGTTTGTATCTTTTTTTTTTTTGAGACAGAGTCTCACTCTGTCCCCCAGGCTGGAGTGCAGTGGCGCGGTCTCGGCTCACTGCAAGTTCCGCCTCCTGGGTTCACACCATTCTCCTGCCTCAGCCTTTCGAGTAGCTGGGACTACAGGCGCCCGCCACCACGCCCGGCTAATGTTTTGTATTTTTAGTAGAGACGGGGTTTCACCCTGTTAGCCAGGATGGTCTCGATCTCCTGACCTCATGATCCGCCCGCCTTGGTCTCCCAAAGTGCTGGGATTACAGGCGTGAGCCACCTCGCCCAGCTATCGCAATATTTTAAATTTACATGTACTAAATATATTTTAGTAAATTAGATTTACTTGTACATTTCTGTAAGTGCAGAGCCCTATGCTTGCTTGAATAGGTCTTACTAGCATTTAAGTTACACACTCTAATTGTATCTTGCCACACTTCTAATGCATCTGGAAATTGAAGACAATGGCAAAATCATGCTGTTATCTGGGAATAACGGAAGAGATGGAACATGGATTCCTAAGAGACCTCCAAGATAGAATGACCCTGGTGAATTTTAATAGTATTTGGTCTCCCCCATCCTATACAATCTTTGGTGTTTCAAACTTGAAAGTTTTCGTTCTCCACTCTGTCTTAATTTGGAACACACCAAATATTTGAAACACATTGAAGGAGACTCCTAGCACAACTGATTCTTAATAGACTTTAGTATAATATTTTTTACCCTCTGAAATAAATCACTATGTGTATTTTCCAATCAGTAAAAAATTTAATTTTAACTAGTATCAAGGGCAACGTAGTTATGTCATATTTAACACTGACATGTGACAAAAGTTTTGAAATGATGACTCATTAAAATACAAAGGAAATAAGAGATGCCTACAATTAATTTCCTTTTAAATATCAAGTAAACATTCTTTGTGGAAATGGAAATTGAAGATCATTGAAAGTCATAGTGGAAAACTTAGAAGCAATATCCCTGCATGTTCTTTCCTTTGCTGTCTTTCTATCTCTTATCTTACTCTGTATGAATAAACACCTATTGCAACATTAGATGCTGTTGATCACCTAATAAATTCTTCAAACTACCTCTTCCCTTGAGGTCTTGACATGCCTAGTCTATGCACTCAAGTTACTCTCCTACTTTTTACATCTTTTCAGTGGATGCCGCCAAAAACTCATCCTTAAGATCATAGCCACATTTCCCTCTATAGCCGCATATAATCTTAAGGGTCTCCGTGCAAATTAACATACATCTTTCCCTAACATCAAACCCAGTTTTCATACTGAGCATATGACATCCTCAGGTTTCCACAACTTCAAATTGATTATTTAACTCAAGTCAATTTTGATACCATTTTCTGCATTATTCCCAAAATAAAACATTTGTCTTTACCTACAAGTTTTTGTGGATTCTTGTTTTGAATGCTTTGTACATCCATTTGGGTTCAATCTTTATTTATTTATTTTTTTTACTTTCTTTAAAATTATATTCACTCTTCTAATTGCTACCACTTTAGTTCATTTAGATCTTTTATTTTCTTGGAATTTTGCCTGTATAAGAAATGGTATATGGAGTCAACTTAATTCTTCTACTTTTTTTGCATTCATACCATTTCCTATGTATAATAATTTTTCCTATGTATTTGCACATATTCCTGTTTTGTTTCTTTGAACCAGTATCATACTGTTCTATTTATTGAGACTTTATATGTTTTAATATCTTATAGAGCTAGCTCTCCCATGTTGTTTTTCTTCAACATAATTTCGCAGATTTTTTTGCATACTTCTTTTATCATATAAACTCTAAAATAAGCTTATTTTGTTCAAACACACTGTTGGCTTATTTTTTACTTTTATATTAACATAAATATGGATTGATATAGGAAGAATTGACATATTTATAGTATCGAGTCTTCCTATCTGCAACCATAGGATAACTTACAAGTAAACATAATTACATTATTTCATACTGAGACTACAGTAAGCAGTAGAATTTTAAGGACTTTCACATTTCCAAGTTCTCCCTGACTGTTTAGGTGACAAAATAGCCATTTTCACTGTAGGCACAGCAATTATAAAAATTCTTCACACATTTAAGTCAAAATTCCTCAAATTTCTTACTATACTTTTTCATATATATAAGTTATCTGCCACATGAGATAGCAATTTCTCAGAAAAGTACAGTACCCATTTCTGGAATTGAACTCGGTTTGCAAAGTTCATTAATGTCATTATCAACCTAGATCTATGCCAAACAATATTCTAGTCACTCTGTAAGTATTTATCATAATGCAATCTGCTTCTAAAATTAAGATATCAGGGGAGATATATTTAAAAAAGGAAATGGGAAAATTAGTTGTTTATATCTTAAGCAGTGTTAAAACGATTGCCTTTTGTTGGTAATTTTTAGTTTCTTAGAGAGTATAATTATGTTAATGAACATTACAGCATCCCAAGAGGGAGTTCATTATTCAGATTATTCTGTATGTGAAACCCTAGAATATTATTACTCACATATTGCAGAATTACTATATCTCTCATAACAATTTGTGAAAATCTGGCTTAGAGCAATATATTTCAGTATAAAATAAAGCAAATTTACTGACCAGCTATTATATGTCAAGTACTAAGCTAGGTTTTGGAAATGCATAGATGAATAAGGGAATATGCCACATGTTTTCTCATGGAGGTCAAATGGGTCATAAAAAGGATAAGTAAAAATTATATTGTGTATTCAGCGATGCAACAATACAAGTACTAAAAAGGTACAGAATACATACGCATGCCTGGATACAAACACACATATATGCATATATGTAAACGTGTACACACCCAAAGCACAAGTATAATCAAAACATTACAAACAGATATTTTAGGACCAGTAACTCTTTCCACCTCACCTTTTAGAATATGATTATGTGTGCAAAAAATGGAGAAAAAATGCATCGGAAATGAAAGTAGTGCTTTGTGAGCGATTTTAAAGTGTTTATTTTTATTTATTTTAAAACGTCTTTTTAAAGTATTTATTATTAACTATTTTGTAAGTATTTTTAAGTTGGGTACTAATGAGAACAAAAATAAGATTATTTAAACATATTTTATGTGGCAATATAATTTAATGTCAAAATGCAGATAACATATTTGCAGTACGTGAGTTGTAATGAAAAGAAAATGCCCGTAATTTTGCTACTTAGCACAGCCAGGTATCATGGGTGCCCTAGGATTAGCCTTCATTTTCCTGCTCCTGAAAACTGACTATTATGGAGTGTTGCTTACGAATGGTTGAGGATCGCTAGCCACTGAAATACCTCTTTAACCAGTATTGTGTGGGAAAAATTAATGTGTCTAGGTGGCCAGCTTCCGAAGAGAAAATGCTCTCAAAGATAAATGTTAGACTAACCCTTAAGTATGTTTAAGGTCATTTCACTCCCCAGAGAAACATGTTTCAGAAAGCATAACGGAAATTAACGGGAAATATAAATCTCTATAAATCAACATTTTACACATAGTTTTACAGAATGCCATCAAAAGCATAGAGTACATAATTAATTTCTTAAGTATTTCATTCAAAAAATTTAGTGTCTTATATTCTAGGCATTGTAAGCACAAACGATGCAGTAGTACATAAAACTAGAGATCTATCTATCTATCTATCTATCTATCTATCTATCTATCTCTGTCTGTCGTCTTTCTGGCTCTCTGTCTCTATAGCTATCTAAACTTTGTGTGAGAGGGCTCACACAAGCAACCAAAAAGCTGATGGTAAGCCAAGTGTTGTGAGCGCTGGAATACATTAAAGCATAATATAAGGAGGAGAAGAATTATGGGCGGCGGGGAAAAAGGGAGTTCAGATTTTTATCTATAAGATGATCAGGGAAATGGCCTGATTGGTGGATATATTTAGGTATAGACATAAAAGGAGGAAGGAAAGTGGATAGTTCTAGGCACAGGTAGAATATGCCTAGCAAGAAGAAGAGTAGAACACAATGAGATCAGAGAGGAAATACGGGATCCCAGACCATGTTAGACTTATAGGAGGCATTGTATAACCTGTGGCTTTTATTATGAGTGAGACAGAAAATAATTGGAGGGCTTTGACAGAAAACAATTAGAGGGCTTTGAGTAGAGAAGAGACACAATGTGTCTCTAATATTGAATGATTATTTTAGCTAGTAGATTGAGCATAGATTATTCATGGGTTCAAGGCAGAAGAAGAGAAAACAGGTAGCAAGTTATTGCAATAATTTAGGTAAGAGAAAATGGCTTGCCCAATGGTGGTAGTGCAAAAGTAATTAGATTCTAGACATATCTTGAAGGCAGAGACAACATATATTTTGATTAGTTATTTTTTATATGACAGGGAAAGTAAGGAGTGAAGGGAAAAAAATGACTGACTCCAATATTTTTGACCAAAGCTAAAAGGTTGGAATTGTCAGTTAATGAGATGGGGAACTGGAACAAAGAGGCTTTTGGGGAATTGGAAGGATTTTCATTTTTAGTGCATTTAGTGCATTCTCCATTTGAGAATTTACATCACTGAAGTGGAGAAAATGAAGTCTGGATTTGAAAATGTGGAGTTTGGGAAACAGTTCTGAGTAAAGGTATCTATGTATTTTTTTCCTCAGAATATAAATAATATTTAGAGCCATGATGCTGAGTGAGATCACCTAAAGAGTGATTTACATAGAGAAGTTTGAGAAAGAAAATCTGAGGCGCTCTAATTTTTAGAGGAAAAGAAGTTCCAGCCAATGAGACAGTAAAGAAGTGGATAGGGAAGGGGTTCCAGAGGCCAAGCAAAAGTATTCCAGAAAAAAAGGACAACTGTGTTAAATGTTTCTGATAGGTCCATAAATGAGGAATGTGAATTGACTGTTGGACTGAGCCATGTGAAAACCATTGGTAACACTGACAAGACATATTTTGATAGAGTAGTGAGCACAAAAGCTAAACTTGAGGTGTTCAAAACATAATTGCAGCAGGAAACAGTACAGACAGTGAGTATAAAAAATAACTCTCCAGGAGATCTACCAAAAGACGTGCAGAGAAATAGGCAGGAACTCAACTAGCCTGTCAGATCGAGATTCCTTTTTTTTATTCTTATTTGAAAGGAAAAATAACAGCATGTTATTATGACGATGGAAGTGATAGAGTAGAAAGGTAAAATCGAGAAACAGAAAAAAGAAGAGACAATTGCTGTGTTGACATCTGGAGTTTATGAATGGGATGGTGCCCAGACAGCAGAAACAGCCCATTTAATTCAATGGTCGTGAAACACAGTGAGACAAGTCATCAAAGTTGCATGTTTTTCTCCAGCCTGACTTAGTTGCCTCCATGATTAAACAGAGTAGGCAGGGACTGGATTTGGTGTGAGCTGAGGTTTATCCAAGTGAGTGTGACTGAAGAGAGGAGCATGCGTATGCCTGGAAGTTTAAAGGAGGTGAAACAGTTATGACCTTGTAAGGCTGCAGTGTTCTTCAGAGGAGAAACAGGAGCCAAAAGATGCATGTGACTCTAGGAGAAGAGGTTCGGAGTAGAGAGGATTTTGCTGATTGTTATAATTTTAGCAATTTTGTGAGATGCTATTTCATAGTTTAATTAATGCTGTCATGTTTATTATTTTATTGTACCCACATTAATAAAAATAACAACGTAAAATTTAAATTATAGTATATTTTCTCCACAATGTTGATCTAATTATTTATGTCCAACTTTAGAACTCAATCCAAAAAGCAGTATCCCCAGAAATGTCCATAATGTCGGAGTCAAAATAAGTTGTGTTTCTTTTGTAAATTGTGAAATAACATTGCTAAATATAACTAAGGTTCTGGGAAGACAAAGGATTAGTGAAACAGTGCATGAGTATTATGTAAAGCACCAAGAAAGGGCAAATATTACATTTATATATACTTCTATATATAAAACTTATACATGTGCCTGTGTATGTGTGTGCGTGTCAAAATAATTAAGCCATATAATTTATGCTTGTGGTTATGCTCAATGTATTCATTTTTTTAAAATTGCCATTATGGACTCTCAGGTATTTATTTTATTTCTAAAGCCAACAATGAGATTATTCTCTGTGGATACGTGACCAGAGGTGACATGCTCACGGATATTATAGCAGATGATCGTATTATAGTAAAGCACACTAAATAACCTTTACACTCTCATCCAAATCTACAATTCTATGATTTTGATTTATGCCAACAACGGCCACCAAACTATAATGATAATGATGATAAAAGACCAGTGATGATCAATGCCATGCCTCCTATGAAGTTCTATCCAGAACATAAACTCCTTAATAAGAATACAGTGCTCTCCCGTGCTGCAATAACATTTTTCTTCATCTTCCTCTAAAGGGATGTATGCCTTTTTTCCTGGTTATTTTTGAAAGTATCTTGGATGGTAATGTGAATTCATTCAACCTCAACATTTATTTACGGTTACTGACACCCTACATATTAGGCAGTGGGGATGAAAATAATAGCTGACTTTTTGGAACAGTTTCATCACAGTAGGCAGTGCCAAGGGCTTTCTTTGCATTATTCCATTTAACCCTCACAATGTCCTTATGAAATATGATATCATTTCAATCAGCATTTCACAAATGAGGAAACAGAGATATAAAGAGTTTAAGTCACTTGCCTAAGGTCACAAAAGAAATGATATTGCTCACTTTCGAATCCATGCTGTCTGGCCCCTGAACCTGTAGTCTCTAAACTACTGTTATAGTGATGAATAAAACCACCATGGCTCACATTAGCCCCTCAACAATTTCTCTCTCTCTCTCTCTCTCTCTCTCTCTCTCTCTCTCTCTCTCTGTCTCCCTTCTATCTCTCTCTTTCTTGGAGGCTGGGGGGGTGAATGTGGCCAAAAATTCTTTGAAAGAACTCTTTTTGGGTAATAATGTAGGCACATTTATTAAAAAGTGGTGGTGTTTAGGGCTTAGCCTCATCAGCTCATAACCTATGCACTCTTCTAATCACGATGTTTCTGATTGCTAATTATTTCCTCTTCTCCTATTACTGTTTCCTCTCATTATTACACAGCCTTTTCATCACCTGACATTGTGCTTCTGGGTGTCCTTGTACCAATTCACTCCACCTCAGCTTGTCATAAAGCAGTTGGTTTCCTCTTATCACTCATCCATTTGATATGTCTTGCAGAATTATCTAACCAAGTTTCCACATGATATTGTTACATTCTATTTACTGAATGTAACAGTGACTGAAAATCTATGTGGATAGACTGACTATAGACATATATAGCAGAATTTATATGATTATTAGTTATAGATGTCTGCTCCGGAGCATGCTGCTATATTGACACATGATCTCAAGCAAAATATATTGGCCTACTACTAATTTATCCACAGCTTCTAATCATCTTAGATAATCCATTGACAACTTTCAGTGCTACAATATCAGTAAAATGATTTTCTTTCATGTATCAGTGATAGTAAATTTGCTTTATATAAAGGCCTCAGCAACTACCATTTACACCTGGACAAGTTAAAAAGTGTGACTATAACTCAACATCAAATAGAACACTAAAGATCAACTATACCTCAGGAATAGCTGTTGAAAACCAGGTTCGAGCCCTAGCTGTCCAGAAACAACTTTGATTTATGTATATGAAATTAAGATACTGCTCTACCATCAAGCAGCATTATAGGAAAATTATATATACTTAGGGAGACTAGATTTAGTAAGCAAGTATTTTGGATGTCTTTGATGTTATGGTAACAGGTGGTAATTTAGGGAATGCTTGCTTGGCAGGTGTCCTGAATATAGGCAATTTTGCAGCTTAATGAGTATATTTCCACCTACTGTTTCAAGAATTGCTCCTGCCAGAGGCTATGAGAAATTGTATAAGATATTGAAATTTATCATGTTCTGTCATTTTAGACTGTGAATTAGTGGGCCACTGGAGGTATAAGCTTTAAGTTCTTCAAATCTTTCTGAAAATATAATATTCCTCTTAAGGAATAATGGTCATGATCAACATAATTCCATGTATTCATACTATTATATATTTTTCCCACGTACCTTCCTTATACATTTATATAACTCAATAACTAGATTATTAGTATCTTTGGAGGATGATTTGAGGCATGTGACAATGTTAGAACCTTGTAAAATTCAGTTTCAAGGAACACTAGTGATGAAATAATATATAGAGTATGTTTCTTGATAACACGGGTCTATAATCAATTTATGAAATTTTTATGCCAAGTAATATCCTTGTTATGCTACTGAGAGTGATTATATAATCTGAATATGCTGCAATCCATTTTTCTGATGTGCTGGAGCCAACCCACACAGTGGTTGAGAGCTTATAATTAAATATCAGGAAGTTTCAAGCCAGTGGTTAAACATATCCATCATTAAAAATTGGATTTTACTATGACTTATGTCCTCGAGTTTATTCACAGCTATCATATATGGATGGTAAAGATATGATGATGTGTCACTACACACCTCTTCCTAACTCCAGGGTCAGCGTTGTCATGTTGGTAATTAGGCATCTGTCATGGTGGGTGTATTTATATCATAAAAATCAGCAAACACTACAAATTGGTATTTTTAATATTTTTTGAGAGCCAGTCATTAAATATTTATCAGTATATGATTGCCTGTGAGGCATGACATATCTTCTCTTCATTTATTATGAGTAGGTGAGATGAGAGGACGCAAAATTACAGAGGATTGGTAATTTATTTTTAAAGCATCTCGGAACCACCATGGCTCCTGAAAAGGTTGGCGTAAGATTTTCTCAACAGTTAACACCATGAAAGAAATTCACTTTTTATGTAATTTGTGTACAAATCACCTCCTAAAAGCCAGATGATTTGTAAGTTTTTGAGACAAAAAAGAAAACAAAAAGTTTAATGTATTTACTCAATGATCCAAATATACCAAAATGTATATTGGGTTATAGGGAGTCACATTTATGAAAAGTGTGTGTGTGTGTGTGTGTGTGTAAACACTAGTAAGAAAATCAGTTATAGAATAAAGTAATAGACGTGCAAACACCAAATAGAGCTGTAAGATCCTAGAAGAGATAATGATTACCAAGCCAGGCTCATCTGGAAAAGCCTGGAAGGCTACATATGGAACATGACAAGATGGATTATTGTATCAAATAACATTAGAACTGGACGGTAGTTAAGGCAATAGAAACAGATTCTATTCAGTATTATTGCAATAGGGTAAAAGGGACCTCAGAACAGAACTGGGTTCAATTCCTGATACAGCATGAATGAGGGGGAATTACAGCCAAAAAGCACGATGTGAGTCAGTGGATGGAAAATTACTTAGAAGAAACATTAGAAGTAAGGAGGAATTCTGTTTAAACTAACCTATGAGGATTCTTGCTGAAGACAGGCCAGGGTCATCAGATATCATTCCCTTCACATCACCTGGAGGATAGTGGAGGGTGGGGAACCCAATTAGATATTGATGGTGATCAGATATGAAGCATGGGAGAACCTGGCTAAACTAACTCTGCAAGAGTCTTGCTAAAATTAAACCAACTCTGCAAGATTCTTACTGCAATTAGACAATGCACACAAACACAGGCGTCTAAAAGTCAGGCCTAGTTGAAAAAGAGTTCAGGGAAGCCTGATTGGAGTTTGGTCAAGAAGAAAACCTTTTTTCAGTTGAGATTAATAAAACTTCAAAGGAGAAATAAGGAGGGATGAGCATTGCAAATGAGAAATAGCATGAGCAGAGATACAGAGGTGGGGGAGCATTAATAGAGAGGTACCAATTGATTGTGACTGTTTTGCACAATCCAAAACATTTAATGAGTACTTGCCACATTCCAAGTACTGATCTTTGTTCTGTGAAGAAACCAGGAAGCTTCAGGGCTGAGATGGCAGTGGTGGAGGGAGTGACGCTGAGGACTGACAGGTTTAAAAGCACAAAAATAGAGTTCTGAATTTAAGAACGGGGCTAAGATTCTTTTCTCAGATGCATGTTTTTACATTTATACGTGTTTCTCTTCTTCATTCAACCCTCTTTCCTGATCCCTTCTCCATCCCCTTAGTGGGAGCTCCAGGAACATGAAGGGCTGGTTCAACATGAACCATATATGCAAGCCAACTGCCCCCTTCTTCACTGGAATCTGGTCACTAACGGACTGGTCTAGCTTAGGGGTTCACCCGGGGTTGGAAGCAATAACCAAGCTCTCAGGTGGGAAGACTTTCAGGGTATCACCAGTCAGGGATAAATAATAATAATAATATTAATAATAATAATAATAAACATAGTAAACAGGGTAACTATACCCCTGCAAGGGACAGAGAAAGATGAAGTTGGAGGTTTTGGCCTGTGGAAGGGAGCAGTCTTGGTCTGGATTACTATGGTTTATGAGAGATGTACCTGACAGCAATAACTTAAGCATACCCCGAGAACGACCCTGTATGGCAGACATACCTGAAAGCAATAACAACTTAAGAAATGAATTGTTAACCTGGAGGTTGCTAAGGAGAGGGTGCTAAGTGAAAATGCTACATAAACTGCATGCAGTTTGCAAGCTGTAGCGGTTCTGTCCAGCCTGCCACCACTGGACTGTCCCGTATGTCCCCATCAAATAAACCCCATGTTTCATTCACTGGCTGTGGGTCTCTTCTCCTCACTCTTGAACCTGGGACCATCCTTATTGAAGTTAATAGGTGTCTGGTACAATATATGGATATTTTTGCCTTGAATGGTAAATTGCAGTCTTTCCTCATTTTGATCTAGAAGATGATTTTTTTGAACTTGAGGTTGAATTCCTACATTGGTTCTGATCTGTTCACAATAATATTTCTTTATCAGAAAGTAGGAATCTGGAGGATTTTCATGTATGAGGAGTAATCTCTGGAATGACTGGATTCTTAGGAATTGGAGCGACACATGGCTTATAACTACAGTGCAGAGACTGTGTCACATACATCCACAAATAATACAGCTTCTCAGTAGACTCTGGAGCAGGCAGGAAAGCAGGCAGGCATACAGTGCAGTGTGTAGTAACTTTGGGACCATCTGGTCCACAGGCAGTAATGCCAGCACTAACCAAATATCTAAAGGGGACACTTCCACCACTGCCTTGTCCAGATCTTCTTTGCATTTCTCATTTTTCTGGTTTAGGGAGACTCTTTTCTCATAGATATTCTCCTCCTGAAGACCATATGCCACAGAGATCCTCATCTCAGAATGAACCTTCTCTGTAGGAACCTGGGAGGCTACCAAGCCACAGAGATTTTCCATCCTACTGAACAGAGCTGGCACTGGCTTTGTTTTTTCCATCCAGGTTTCATGACAGCCGGATTTGGATTGGCATAATTGGCAAAAACAGACATCCTAGGCTCAGGAG
This sequence comes from Homo sapiens, assembly GCF_000001405.40. Classification (NCBI taxonomy): domain Eukaryota; kingdom Metazoa; phylum Chordata; class Mammalia; order Primates; family Hominidae; genus Homo; species Homo sapiens. The sequence continues at coordinate 146,592,055 of NC_000007.14, read as the reverse complement.
CTGAAGCTCTTTCTTCTCTTGGTCATGGCAAATGGGTCAGAGGAAATGAAAAATGACTCTTTTGGCTTTGATAACTGATGGATGGTGATACTCTGAATTAACACAGAGAATACTGGAGGAGAAGGATATTGAAAAGGAGAAGTCTTATCCTAAATTTAATTTGAGGCAGGTTAAGTTTCAGAGGAATTCAGAGCATCTTTGAGTAAAGATCAGCAAAGAAAATGCAGAAACAGGACTCAGGCAGGACTGGAATTATAGATCCAGAGCATTTTATGATAGGTGATGCTGTCAGAGTAGTGGACATCACCCACAAAGAATTAGATGGACACAAAGAAGATAAAAGCATAACTTGGGGAACACTTCATCACAAATATTGCATTGGGAAAAAGAAGCCAATAAAATAGATAGTGACATTGCATTCAGAATGAATGTTGACAATGGATGCAGGGTTTCTTCTACCTAATAAACTGAATGTAAAAATCATGCTAACTGCTCTACAGTCTCCTCATTGACACTCATATATGGCAGCTGAATAAGTGGTGTTTGATCAAGATTTTATTGATAGACTGCTAAAATTTCACATCTATTTTCATACTCAGGTATTCTTGGCTATTTTCTCAATTATTTTACATTTCTCAATTATTATTCCACATTTACCACCCATTTTGACCCTTTAAATGTCACAACCAATTTCTTTGAAGAACCTATTGTTTTCTTCTGTGGTTAAGGCCTCATTGTATGGGAGTACAGGCTGAGTATCCCTCATCCGAAATGCTTGGGACAAAAAGTGTTTCAGATTTTGGAATATTTGTATATACATAATTAAATATCTTGGGGATTGAATTCAAGTATAAACATAGAAATCATTTATGCTTTATATATACCATATACACACAGCCTGAAGGTAATTTTATGTAACACTTTAAATAATTTGTGCATGAAACAAAGCTTGTATACATTGCACCATCAGAAAGCAGAGGCATCACTATCTCAGCCACACCTGTGGACTGTTTTCTCTGTGGTTGTTTTCTCTCACTATCATTCCTGACTCTGAATTTATATGCTACCAATAAGCAAGCATTTTCTTATGCTTAGTCACATGTCAGAACTTAACAGTAAAAAAATCTAACATACCATTAATATAAGAAAAAACAATGTGTCCAGGATAACTGACTAACACAGTAGCATCACCAGAATACCTGTATCAGCTGTTAAAGAACAGCAACAATCAAGAATGGCAAGCTTTCAGTCTCTGCCTACCATGCTGTGTGATACCATTTGTGGGCGTGATTGCATGGGGAAACCTGGGCATGCACAGAAACATATCACAGCTCAGGGAGGCTGAGAGAATCTCTTTGTCTTTGGGGATGCTGAATAAATGGTGTGTTGTGCATCTGTGTTTTAACTTCGGCCTATCACACAAGGTCCAGTGTGGAATTTTCCACTTGTGATGTCATGGTGGCACTCAAATAGTTTTGGATTTGGAAGCATTTTGAATTTCAGATTTTTGGATTAGGTATGCTCAACCTGTACTGTCATTAAGAGTTGGAGGGTGGAGTTTTCTTTCATTAATTAAAAACATAATTTCATATTCTATTGACTTTGATAGGAGCTGTGTAATAATGGAGGGTGGACAGGCATGATCATTGTCATTAAAAACTTGCAGTCTACTTCGGGAGATAAACATTCATCAAAAAAATTCTCACTGATGTTGAAATTGTGTGTTATGAATAATAATATGTATCATATTAGAGCAGACATTCCTGATAACTAAATATTTGAATTGAGTTTTAAATGAAAAATAGAAGTCAGCTGGGTAACCTGCATAAAGTGGGAAGCATTCCGCATTCCTTGTAGAAGAAACAACTTGTGGCATGACCCTGTAGTGCCTTCTGGAAACAAAACAAAACAAACGAACAAACAGAAAAGTCAATGTGGTGGGAACAAAATGTGAGAAGACAACGAAGCCGGAAAGCTAATATGAACCTGTTCTTCTTTCCTCCTGGCACACAGCTAAAATTCATTCCTCCGTAGACAGAGTCAGAAGACTGAGTTCTGGCCAAAGTAATGTGAGTGAAAGGGGCTCAGGCTTTTTCTACAAAAGCTCATGAAAATCTCTTTTGTGCTCTATTCTATTCTTTCTCTTCCTGGTATACTATGTGGATGCAGAGGAACCAAAGGAAAACTCTGCTTCCTCTATCATGTGGAGGGTGCCTTCTGCAAACCAGGAACACACATTTTTAATCTCACTTGAATAACACATAAACTTACATTGCAACATTCCATTATATATTTGGGGGCTTTTTTTTTTATACTCTACATTCTGGGATACATGTGCAGAACGTGCAGGTTTGTTACATAAGTATACACGTGCCATGGTGGTTTGCTGCACTCATCAATCCATCATCTGCATTAGGTATTTCTCCTAATACTATCCCTCCCCTATCCCCCAAACCCCAACAGGCCCCAATGTGTGATGTTCCCCTCCCTGTGTCCATGTGTTCTCACTGTTCAACTCCCAGTTATGAGTGAGAACATGCAGTGTTTAGTTTTCTGTTCCTGTGTTAGTTTGCTGAGAATGATAGTTTGCAGCTTCTTCCATGTCCCTGCAAAGGACATGAACTCATCCTTTTTTATGGCTGCATAGTATTCCATGGTGTACACGTGCCACATTTTCTTTATCCAGTCTATTACTGATGGGCATTTGGGTTGGTTCCAAGTCTTTGCTATTGTGAATAGTGCTGCAATAAACGTACATGTGCATGTGTCTTTGAGGCTTGTTTTTTATAGCAGTGAGTGTTTTAGTATACCTTGTTTTTTATAGTAAGCCTACCTACACTCCACTTTGTATAGTAAGCCTACCTACACTCCACTTTCAATAGCATTCTTACAGCAATAATGCTCATACTGTTTTATAAAACATTCCAAAAGCTTTCTAGAAATGGAATGGGGGAACTTGTGAGTATGTGAAATAAGTAACAAGAAATGTTTAAGGAAATGTTCTGTGGCTATCTAAGGATGCTAAGGAAAAGGAAAGACAGTGAATGAGGTGACCTGTAATAATTATAGTGACATGAAATTTTAACTTTTTTTTTATAACTGAAATGTAAAGCAGTTTAATATTGCAGATCCTTTCCAAATATTATAGACAGCAGCTAAAATATATCAGATCACTAAATAATTGTGATCTTACATCAATTTCTATAAAAAGAGCTCAGAAGATTGTTGGTTCAAAATTTCATATGTGGGCCAGGCACAGTGGCTCACACCTGTAACCCCAGCATTTTGGGAGGCACAGGCCGGCCGATAGCTTGAGCCCACAAGTTGGAAACCAGCCTGGGCAACAGGGCAAAATCCTACCTCTACCAACATTTTTAAAAAATAGCCAGGTGTGGTGGCATACACTCGTAGTCCCAGCTACTCAGGAGGCTAAGGTACGAAGATCACCTGAGCTTGGGGAGGTCGAGACTGCAATGAGCAGTGATAATGCCACTGCACCTCAGCCTGATTGACAGAGTAAATTTAAAAAAAAAAAAATACATATAATAAGCTGTAATTTCACACCTGTGGTATATTTTGTTTTGTTTAAAGACTGTATTTTAATTTAATAAATATATTTTGAAATGACAGAAAAATATTTTAAAAAGTTGTATCTCAGTCTACACATGAAGATTTAGTTTTCAGTATTCCAAAGATCATGTAATGGAATTAATTACAATTTCCAAATTTATAAACTAAAGAAGAAGTGCTGCTCTCTTATGAATTCCCACTCTAAATTCATTAATTTAAGATATATGTGGGCTTTGTACTTTAAAGTTGAAGAAAATTCAGAATACTTAACCTCATCCTTAATCAAAGTGTAATAAATTACAAACCACACCAAAATCTCTACCTACTGAAAACTTCTGAAGGTGGGAGAGAGTATAGAGCCTACAGCTGACTCCCTACAATATTCTATATGGCAACGTGAATCCATAGCAGGCTTAATGTAAAGCATCTATTTTCTAATACCATTGACATTTACACACACACACACACACACACACACATACACACACGGTTTGTTTGAAAATTAATCATCAGGCCGGGCGCAGTGGCTCACACCTGTAATCCCAGCACTTTAGGAGGCTGAGGTGGGCAGATCACCTGAGGTCAGGAGTTCAAGACTAGCCTGGCCAACATGGTGAAACCCCCATCTCTACTAAACATAAAAATTAGCCAGGCATGGTGGCGTGCACCTGTAATCCGGAGGCTACTCAGGAGGCTGAGGCAGGAGAATCGCTTGAACATGGGAGGTGGAGGTTGCAGTGAGCTGAGATCATGACATTGCACTCTAGCCTGGCTGATTAGGGCAAAATTCCGTCTCAAAAAAAAATGAAAAAGAAAATTAATCACCAGATGTATATTAATCAAACACACACAAACTTGCAGACATATATATTACCATCATACGTGCATATAAATAACAATGACATTTGTATGTGTGTGTTTGTGGTGGTATTCCAAATATGTGCTTATAAATCACACTAAAATGTGATTAAAAGGTGATGACGTGGAGATACTTCGGTGTTTGGAATCATACACAGCTGAGAGCCAAGCTGCAGCCCTACACCTAGTCTTTAAAAATTAGACTTATGTCCTTCTTAGGGGACCCCACTCCTCAGTTCCTCACTGAGCTATCAGGATTACATGAAGTTGATAAAAGATATCGGAGAGGCTGTACAAATGAGAAAAATAAGTTTTGTACCTCCAAGGAGCTGACAGTCTAGTAGAAAATATGTACAGCTAATAATTAATGGCCATATATTATAATAGGTGCTAATAAAAAGGCAGGCCCATGTATACACAGGCCCCAAGAAAGGAACGGCCTGGCAATATCATCACAGGCATGCACCCAGACACCTTTTGTGGTATCAAGTCTGGTGGCAGCAGAAAGCAAACTGGAAGAAATAGTTCTCATCATATGACTTTAAAATGTAAAACTATAAATGAAGAGCAATGAGTTTGTTAAAAAAAAAAAAATAAAACAATGCTCATGTTTGGTGGTACCATAATATTTAATAAGAAATATTTAAGAATGATCGTGTCATTCTTATTGTTGCTTTAAAAAAGTCTAGCACATTTCAAAATAAGATTTTGTTCATAGCAAAAATGACCCTGACAATTATTTTTTGAAGAGACTGTGCTCTTGCTGGCAAAACAGTGCACACTCATTAACAGTTAGGCTGGCTAAGATCCAGCCGGGTCAAATGCTGATTAATTAGCTCATCTGATTGTCAGAGGAAAAACCCTTCCTCATATGAACTGTCACCAACTTTGAAATTTCTCATCAAAGGTCCTTAAAGTTACCAAACTGCACTTATAATGGTTTTCTGTCTACTATTTTGTTGTAAATGTGTGTGTGTTAGTTAATACATATGTGTGCATGTTTATGTGTGTGTGATTAATATACATCTGATGGTTAATTACCTTTGGTGAACCCTAACAAACTCTATATGTGTGGGGGAGTGTGTGTGTATGTGTGTGTAAATGTCAATGGTAGAAAACAGATGCTTTATGTTAAGCCTAATATTAATTCACTTTGCTATGTAGAATATTGTAGGGAGTCAGCTGTAGGCTCTATACTCTCTCCTACCTTTAGAAGTTTTCAGTAGGTAGAGATTTTGGTGGGGTTTGTAATTTATTACACTTTGATTAAGGATGAGGCTAAGTATTCTGAATTTTCCTTAAATATTAAAGTTACAAAGAAAGGCCACATGTATCTTAAATTAATGAATTTAGAGTGGGAATTCATAAGAAAGCAGCACTTCTTTAGTTTATAAATTTGGAAATTTTATTTAATTCCATTAAATGATGTTTGGAATACTGCAAACTAAATCTTAATGTGTAGACCCAGATACATTTTAAAATATTATTTTTCTGTCATTTCAATATATATTTATTAAAGCATATTGTTTAAGCAAAATAAAATATACCACAGGTGTGAAATTACAGCTTGTAATTTTGCTTTGTTTTCTTTTGTTTGTTTTGTTTTGTTGTTGTTGTTTTTTTGAGACAGGGCCTCACTTTGTCACCCAGGCTGGAGTTCAGTGGCATCATCATGGTTCACTGCAACCTCCACCTCTCAAGCACAAGTAATCCTCCTACTTCAGCCTCCTGAGTAGCTGGGACTATAGGTGCACACGACCACCCCAATTCTTTGTTTTTCTCTCTTCTTTCTCTCTCTCTCTCATTCCTTCCCTCCCTCCCTCCTTCCTTCCTTCCCTCCCCTTCTTTCCCTTTCTTTCTTTCCTTTCTTTCTTTCCTTCTTTCTTTTTCTTTCTTTCTTCTTTCTTTCCTTCCTTCCTTCCTTCTTTCGTACAGATGAGTTTTAGCCATGTTCTAAATTTCTAGGCCTATTTTGATAACTCGTCAATTTTATTTTTAATAGGTAACTCTGAATTCTTAAAATAACTTGACACTCATAGGAGAATAATGTAACAAAGTCATATATAGGAAATTAGTTTATCTTTTCAGATAAACTTACCTAACTATGTTGTAAAGCATTTGCACAAGTTTTTCATTTTATTCCATTACCTTATTTAAGGCTCGGGTGCTGAAAATGGGAATGATAGAGAGCAAAGATACTCAGGTTTAGGCCGGGTGCGGTAGCTCACACCTGTAATCCCAGCACTTTGGGAGGCGGAGGTGGGTGGATCACGAGGTCAGGAGATCGAAACCCTCCTGGACAACATGGTGAAACCTGGTCTCTACTAAAAATACAAAAATTAGCCAGGTGTGGTGGCATGTGCCTGTAATCCCAGCTACTCGGGAGACTGAGGCAGGAAAATGGCTTGAACCAGGGAGTCAGAGGTTGCAGTGAGCCGAGATCGTGCCACTGCACTCCAGTCTGGCGATAGAGTGGGACTCCGAAAAAACAAAACAAAACAAAACAAAACAAAACAAAACAAAACACCAAGATACTCAACTTTGGGCCAATAATTTTAGGACCACCAACATATTGTGATTCAACGCATGAACTGAATTGGCTCAGATGGGACTTATGCTTTGGTTTCCTTCTTTGGTGTGAAGGAATAGGGCCCCAAACAGGTTAAATATAGGTGTCACTTTGATGCCTCATCAGTGCCCTACTATTATTCAAAATTTAACTCTAATATTTTTGAGTATCATTCCCTTCTTCATACAGTGATACATAAGAATCTGACCCAGCCTACAACCCCAAAAGTGACCCTAAGGATAATCCCATAACCTTTGCAATAATTGGTTTAAGAACATTGGCCAATAGGCCCTTGGCTTTCTCCTAGCCATTAGGATTGCTTCAGAAGTGAGCACGGTCAGGCCACTGAGACACAGGGGAAATGTAGGGGCAGGGCCGGCTTCTGGAAGAAAAAGCTTCCTTACTACAACAAGAGAGCTTATGGAAATAATGCACTCTCTTCTGATGAATGATGTAGTGCGAGGATGTGAATGTAGATTTCTGTAACTAGCCAACATAAAAGGGGTACCCCAAAGACAACAAGCAAATAAAGGAATGCACCACTGTGGAAAGGAAAGTGGACTCCTTAAATCAATCATGACTGTTTCCCCAGCTCATGTTCCAAATTATGTCAGCAAATAAATTTCCTAGTTGTTTAAGCTAGACTTAAGTGGGGTTTCCATTACTTGCAGCTAAAGGTACCCTTCTGACAGTTTTCCTATGCGCTAGGCACTCTATTAGCATTGACTGAATTCTTTCGGTGCAATGATGATTGTCCACATTATACAGATAAGAAAACTGAAGCTCGGGGTGTCATATGGTAGTATCAGTGTAACATGGAAGAACCCATAATTTTAAACAATGTTTGTTGTTTGTTTGTTTGTTTTCCTGACTCTAAAGCCTAGGAGTGAAATTGTTTTACTTTGAAAAATAACATTTAACAAATTATTTCAGTCTCCTTATGTTAGTACTTTTCATGATTTATTAGTAATGTTGAAATATTTTGTCTTGAAGAAATAGATATGAAAACTTGGGCTGCTAGGCCTAATGATGCCTTATAAATCTAGATTTATAATCTACATCAGGGACAAATATACAATACCCATACACTTGCCTACAAGAGAAGTGGCATTCAAAAATGCATTCATAAAAAAGGAACTCAATCCCAAATCGTTATGTAAAACCAGCTCTAGTACAAGGAGAGTGTTATACAACTGTGTATAAATATGGCTCACAATATCTTTAGGGTATTTTTCTAAATTGAATTTCAAAGGGTTATATCATTTATATGAAATAGCATATATGAATAAAGCATAGAGCTAAGGTCATGCAAAAGTAATGCTAAAGGAAACTGATATTTATATAAATTGCATTACACTTAACAATGGAAAAATAAAAATGTAACAAGACCTATATTAATCTTGTCACCTCAATGTTTTATAAGAACTGATTTAAACTATGTATTTTTTCAATTATTTTATAAGCGATCTCTTGTTCTGAGTTTCTTACATTTGTCTTAAAAATAGCTGCAATGGTGTGTTAAAAAGCTAAGCCCAAACCTTCCCTGATCCACCTCCCCTCCTTTGGTGATGAGGAATCTGTGAGCCGTCGTTGCCTTCCTTCTCCCTTCAGATTCTCATGCTCAACTTCATTCCCTCCTCAACCCACAGACATCTCAGGTTTTCCCTCACTGGGGTTTGAAAACTGATTGAACTACAATCAAGTAATTCAAGTGGTGTTTCCAACAGCTGCCTCCATCCACTGTGCCTCGCTTCCCTTTCTTTCATGAGACGTTCTCTTTCCTTCACTTCCAGGACCCTACACTCCTCCCAGTATTTCTCCTGGATATTTTTGGTCACTTTCTCAGATTGCTGTCTTCTCCATCCTTCAATACAAGATCCTCAAAGCTATGTTCTAAGTTTTCTTTTCTTTCTATTAGACATTTCCCACCTAAGCAGTGACTCTGTCGGCTCCCACACTATGGTTGTCATCACATTCCAAAGGCTCTCATGGGGATAACGCATTTCTGCAACATACTACAAGATAACCATCTCCAAGATATTAAAACATAGGGAACAAAATGCCATAGTGTTGCCTCGTTATCTATTAATGAGTATTATATATTAAATATTATAGATATATTAATACGGCTATATTTAATATTTATACTTAATATCATAAATATATTAATATTATATTTATATTTATAGATCAGAGTGAGGATACTAACGAGCTGCTCAGTATTTAGAAAAGTGATAATGAAAGCAAAAAAAATTTCTTTTCCTTTTTAGAGATAGGGAAGGTTCATTGTGCCTTATTCTTTAACCTAAATATACTAGGTGAAATCTATGAAAATAGAAACACATTCAGAGTGATCTGGTCTCTGCATTGCTTGGGTTAATTTTTGCCAATATTCTAGTAGTACCTTTGTGCTGTTACTCACTCTGCATAAGGCTTTCTAGAGTTGTCCATGTGAAAAACCTCTTGATCACAAATCAACACCTGCAATTCCAAGTGTCTGACCTTGTGACTTTCAAATCAGGGCTTGCGTTATAAATCACTGTTTATTTTCCCTCCCGGTAGCATCTTAATATCTATGGCACGTCCCTTATTATCAGCAGTTATAGCATTCTCTAGGATGATAGCCTATGTCTTTGGGGTGTCTTCTAAGGCTGCCCAAAGTGAATTTAAATGATGATATAACCTCTATTTTAACTCAGGTCACCCCAAAATATCCTCTTGAGAAAACCCAACCAGTTGTTTTTGTGTAATATAGCACAGTAACAGAAAGAGATAAATGTGTGATTCTATATGCATGCAAACGACAAAAACAGATGTGAAAATATAATCTCAAAGCCTTTGGAAAGTTACACTTGATTTTGCTATGGGGAAACCTTTTCTTGAAGTCACCCACTCCAGACTAGACTTTTTCTGTGATGGTAGATTGATTACCCATTAACTTGTGATGGTAGATTGATTACCCATTAACTTTCACTAGAGTTCTAGAAAGGGCTTCTTTAGAGGGAACAGAAATCTTATTTTTTCTTATTGCCAGATCACTCTTTTGTTCTTCACTGTTGCCATAGTCATTATTGTATTACAGCTATTTATGCATATGACCACATTTCTAGATTGTAAACTCCTCGTGGTCAGAATATCCTTATCTTATCAATTCTCACTGCATCATTTTGGGCAATAAGAAAAAAAAGCATTGACAAAATTTCTAGTTGAGTTTAGACAATGCTACTATTATTTGGCAATCAACTTGGAAGCATGATTTCCTCTGTACCTTAGCATCCTGTTCAACAACAAAAATGTATGATTAAAGTAGCTTAAAACATAAATTTCATTCTAATTTTATATGAAAAATGTCTCTAAGTAAAATAAAATTGGATTATTCAAATAATCCTTTTTTTTTTTGCTAAAAATGGCCATCATTTTCTTGTTTATTATAATACATTACATTGAGTGTTGACCTTTGATAACCATTTTACAAAATTATGTTGGATTAATGCATCTGATATTTTTGTAACCTAAATTTTCTCCTTTTTCTCTCAGCATAGGTCACTTTCAATATTCTATCCGCAGTTAAAATATTATTGTTTTCATAAAATTTCAATTCTAAACCTAATTTGTATAATCTTGGAAAGCTCAGCTACTGCTATTATAATTTATCATTTTATTTCATTGGTATAACACTGAAGCATTGCATATTATTGCAATATAACAAAATAAAATAAAGTATCTTAGGAGATGGCTGATTCTGACCTTTCTATCACCTGTTGGAGAAAGGCATTTCTTGCATATAATAACCTGTAGGAAAATGCTAAATCTTTCTGGAAACATACATTTTAGTCACTTAGGCAATGGAGGCCTTATAACTCAAGAATAATTTACCATTCTGAAGATGAGTCTAGATTTCCACCAATTCTTGGGTCCGTATGTTTTGTGGCATTGATTAAACACAGAAGGTGTGTTTGTCAATCAGCCTTTCCTTGAAAGGTTTAAAGTTGCTTAAGACCCAGAATTTTAGCCTTCATCATGATTCAGTCATATTGTTCTGAATTATGTAATATTTGACAAGTGGTTCTATCAGCTGAATTAATTTTTCAATTGTCTCTAATTGCCTTTTATTTCTTGGGGTGATTTTTCACACAAATTTGAGGTGAGAGTGTCGCTTGGCCAAATGTATCTAAACATCCCATTTATTCAGCATTTATTAACTACCCACTGCTATTTTCCAGGCACAGACTGACCTAGGTAATGGGGATAAAGCTTTGATGAAAACGTACAAAATATCCAGCTTACCTTGAGCTTACATTTTAATAATATTTATCACAAAACAAATCAGCAATTCTAACATTTCCTAAATATGATCTCAATTGACAAGCATTCTTCATTACAAGCACTTAATAAAGCAAACATCATATATTAAGACGAAACATACACTTACAGGAGTGTGGGCCAGGAAAGAAGAAATAATGAAATAGGCAGAAAATAGTTTGGGCTTTGAGCTCAGAAAAATGTGGTTTGTTTCTAATTTGCTTCCATATATTTAGATCTTGCCGAAGTACTTACTAAATCTCTTGAATCTTTTTTTTTTTTTTAATTGGGGATAATACCTCATTTGTTTTCAGAGTTGTTCTGAGGATTCTGTAATTGTAGAAAATATTTTCTTTTACAATGTAGCAATTAATCAAGGTAATAATAGTTATATAAAGGTGTGGTCACTGCCCTACTTTCACTAACAAAAACTTTAAATTATCATTTGAGATGCAAACTTCAATAAAAAACAAACAAGTCATACAACGCATGTTACTTTCAACAAACAAGTCACATAATTCTGGTTATCTAGGTAAAGTATGAAATTGATAGTTATGGATAAAATTCCCCTGTTAAATTTCTACCACTGCAGAATTATTCTATACATTAATAAACCAGAAAAGCTATATATGATTATTTAGGGTTTAATAAAAAAGTCATGCTGTCTTTTTAACTGCTTACTGAAAATACATGCCTTAAGCATAGGAAATATAATTGGTTAGGTGAGGGGAAAGAGTGTGTTTGGGGGTGAATTTTGAGCTTGCTGCCTTGGTTGGATCTAAAATTGTAGAATCATGAGCTTCTACAAGCAGCAAGTAAGAGTCAGGAAATAGGATCAGAAAGAGGTTTAAGAGAACGTGGGTTAAAAGTGAAAGGGGTTATTCTCTGCAATATTATGTACACTAAGAAACTTCAAGGCAAGCTGTTATTTTCACATAAATACCTTTACATTATATGACACTGAGGCACCAAAACTTACATCTTATTTTCTACTCAATGTCGTTTGTATTTTTGGTTGTTTGTTAGATTCATGTGAGGGGGTGGAAATTAAACAGCTTGTGCCTAGGGTAATTTTTAGTCTTTTCCTGGAACCAAATTTGTGAAATGATGAATGATGAACTACATATCTTTCAATGAGTGAGTCTCTAGCGGGCAGTCAGCAGCA